>NW_025791797.1:900000-1154574 GCF_000001405.40 Homo sapiens | reverse complement strand
GAATTCTTCTTTAGAGGCTCTAGGTTTTTCTTGTGCAGAATTGCTCAGATTATTAGTCTCTTAGAAATAGTGAGATTCTGTGGCAGATTTCCAAGCATTTAAACCTCTTTGGAGATTAAAGAGTATTCATTCCAGTTACAGAAATGTCCCCTAACATATGTGAATATTACTCCCAAATAATTAAGAATGCTGGGCCTGGGGCTTCTCACTTCCTTAGGTTTTCATAGCTTTCCTGAGTACTGCATCAGTTAGCTGATCAGCAGCCTTTGTTTTTTAGCCACCATTGGAGTCATGATCACGTTCTCATTAGGTGTAGGTATTTTCTTTTTTTCAAATATTGCCTTTAAGAAAACATTTTGTTAGCCGGGCGCAGTGGAAGCTGAGACAGGAGAATTGCTTGAGCCTGAGAGGTAGAGGTTGCAGTGAGCTGAAATCATGCCATTGCACTCCAGCCTGGGCAACAGAGCAAGACCTTGTCTCAAAAAAAAATAAATAAATAAAAATTAAAAAAAAAAACTTTTGTATTTTGGCAATTTTGATTTACTAAAGATTTCCTTCTTGAGGTTACTGTTCTGATTTTATAGGTAATCCCTATGCGTTCCCTCTGAGTTTAAGAAATTGTATCCAATATCCCTGATTTTCCCTTAAAGATTCTGCTGTTTTCCTGGTTCTCTGGTCCCTTCTTCACTCTGAAAGTAAAGAGTAGGGCCTGAGATATCCCAGGATGTTTCTCTTCATCTCCCCAGCCCATACAGTTGGAGATTGTGCTCAAAGATTTGCCAAAATAGAGATTTTACACCAAGCCTGTCCAACCCGCGGCCCTCGGGCCACATGCGGCCCAGTAGGTTTTTTTTTTTTTTTTTTTTTTTTTTTTTTTTTTTTTTTTTGAGACGGAGTTTCTCTCTTTTTGCCCAGGTTGGAGTGCAATGGCACGATCTCGGCTCACTGCAATCTCCGCCTCCTGGGTTCAAGAGATTCTCCTGCCTCAGCCTCCCGAGTAGCTGGGACTACAGGCACCCGCCACCACACCCGGCTAATTTTTTGTATTTTTAGTAGAGACGGGGTTTCACCATGTTAGCCAGGATGGTCTCGGTCTCCTGACCTCGTGATCCATCCGCCTCAGCCTCCCAAAGTGCTGAGATTACAGGCGTGAGCCACCACGTCCGGCCACGGCCCAGTAGCTTTGGATGTAGCCCAACACACATTCGTAAGCTTTCCTAAAGCAGTAAGAGATTATTTTGTGTGTGACTTTTTTTTTTTTTTAAGCTCATCGGCTATCATTAATGTTAGTGTATTTTATGTGTGGCCCAAGACAATTCCTCTTCCAATGTGGCCCAGGGAAGCCAAAAGATTGAACACCCCTGTTTTACACATCCTGTTGTGACAACTCTAGGTTTCCTGTCATTTATTTTCTTTTTCTTTCTTTCTTTCTTTCTTTTTTTTTTTTTTTGTGGCGGAGTTTTGCACTTGTTGCCCAGGCTGGAGTGCAGTAGTGCGATCTTGGCTCACTGCCGCCCTGACCTCCCAGGTTCAAGTGATTCTCCTTCCTCGGCCTCCTGAGTACCTGGGATTACAGGTGCGTTGCCATCACGCCCGGTTAATTTTTGTATTTTTAGTAGAGATGAGGTTTCACCATGTTGGCCAGGTTGGTCTCGAACTCCTGCCTCAGGTGATCCGCCCATCTCAGCCTCCCAAAGTGCTAAGATTATAGGTGCGAGCCCTGGCTCCCGGCTGTAATATCCATTCTTAATCGCTATTTTTGATGAAGCAATTTTTTTATTAAAAAACTTGGTGTACTTTAAATATTTTCCTGGTGTTAGCTATGATAGGATTTGCCATGTATCTTTCACCCTTTTAGTTACCCCATGGGTTGTTTTGTGAACCTGCCTCACATTTTCTGTGCATGTCCTTGAATGTTGTAGAATCCTAGGAGGGTCGAGAGTGGGTTCTGAAGAGCTTCCCCACGTACCTCCATTCAATTCAATGCTAGCCTTTCCCCATGGAGTGGAGGCCTTTGGACTTCTCTTGCCACCAGAGTGGACTTAGGGAACAGGCAGTTGGCATTTGAGGTCCTCATGCTAAACTTAGAGCCTAGCACTCCCTTGAGCAAGCCACCTTCTCCCCTGTGCCTCCCATTTTTTTCCCTAAGGTGAGTGCTCCTAAGTCTGTGGAGGTGCTCCCCTGCTGTTTTCTCCAGGGTCCTCAGAGGCCCCCCCCCTTTTTTTTCTATAGTAGGCTGACAGAGCAAATGGTTCCAAGGGTGCCTGGGGCCAGCCTCAGAGCTGTGGCTGCAGCTGTGAACCCAGGCTGTGTCAGAGGAAGCTTGGCTTAAGTATAAATAACCTTAGCAGAACTCAAGGTCCAGTCACCTGTGGAAGAGAGGTGAAACTCGAAATGCAGTGCCCACTCCCTCTCCCTCCTGAGATACATAAACACAACTTGGTGTTGAAATTTGAGATGGTACAATGGGAGTGGGTGTGGTTTAGGGAGAGTTGTATCTGCCCTGCATAGATTTGGGGGCCTGATGCAGTGGTCCAGACAGACCTGAAATCTGATTCCAGTGGGACTTCTGGGAAAGTGGCTAAACCTCTTAGCCTGTTCCCACCTATAAAAATGAGGAGACAGAAACCTACCAAATAAGATTCCTTCAAGCATTTAAGTGATGCAGCACTCAATCAATACCAGCTTCTGTGTGTTCACGCTAATTTCTATTATCCATGGACTAGAGAAGATAGGATGGGGGTTTGATGGATGCAGAGGAGAGGGAGGGGGGTCACAAAGGAATGATTACCGGAAGGTGATAAGAGCTATATCTGTACACCATGGCTAAGCTGTGACAAGAAAGCAGAGAGGTGTAAATGCCAGGGTGGGAGGTGAGAAGCAAGGAGATTGGGGGGAAAGCCAGGGCCAGAAATGAAACGTCCCTGTCCTGTGTGTCATGCTCCTGGAAGCTGGGCCTCCAGCTGGGTATGACAGCCAGTTTTTCATGTGAGCTTCCCCTTCTAGGATGAGGATCCACAGAGCTAGCAACCTTGCTGAGCTAGATACTAAGCAAGAGTCCTAGAAGCAGGTCCCATTATCAAGCCAGATGGGAGTAGGTTCTGGTACGGCCACTCTGTTCCGTGTTCCAGAGGTATCCAGAGTCCAAGGGGTGGTCTGCACCCCCGCTCCTCCATCACTCTCTCCTTTGTGTACTTGTCTCTCCAATGAGATGGTTAACTCCCTTGGGAGCAAGGAATTATCTGTCGCCCCTCTTCTTGTGTCTAGTGTAGTGCTCTGAACAATGGGTTTCAGTTAATTAAGCAAACATAAATGTATTCTTCTGGAGCACAGTGTTTTCCTCTGCTCATTATATGATACCACTTATCCAGAAGTTCTTTCCAAGAAAGTCCAGACAGCTCCTGGGGAGAACAAAGTGCCAGGTGTGAGAGGGCAGGTCCTACAGAATTGTTGCTTCCGGCCACAGAGTACTTATGCTAAAACATGTAAAAGTATTAAAATTAGGGCAGTGTGGTTATTACCATTTTACAGTTGAAGAAAGTGAGGTTCAGCCGGGTCACAGCTTGTACATGGACTCCTGGGTGCAGTGCAGTCCTGGGTGCAGTGCTCTTTCCACTTTCTTGACCCAGAGGTCTGCTTCCTGCCCATAAGCCAGGCCCTCCAGCTGGATGCCCGTTCCTCAGAAGCGGCCCTTTGTCCCACCCTCCATCATTCTGCATTCCCATTCTGAGCACCTACTGTGTGCCAGAACATTTCCAGACTGTGATGCTGGCTGTGAGAGGGCAGAGAGCAAGGTGAACACGGGTCAGATTCCCCCAAAGGGCGGAGGTGATGGGGATTAGTTTATGGAAGTCCTTTGGTGCCTAGCACTTGGCTGGACACTGTAAAAATGCCTCTGTTAGCCTGGGAAACCTAGCGACATCCAGTCTCTTGGAAAGAAAAAAAAAAAAAGCCAGGCATGAAGGCGTGTGCCTGTGGTCCCAGCTTCTGGGGAGGCTGAGGCTTGAGCCCAGCCCTGGAGGTTGAGTTTGCAGTGAGCCGTGATCGCGCCACCGCACTCCAACCTGCGCGATACTGCCAGATCCTGTCTCAGAAAAAAAAAAAAAAAAAAAAAAAAAAGCCTGTTACCCGGGAGGAGAGCTCCTCGCCCGACCTCTACCCTCATGAAGAGAGGCTCAGAGGGCTGAAGTGCCTATTTGGCCGAAAGCCGTGGCAGAGTGGCAAGGCAGGGCCAGGGGAAGCGGCTCCGCCGCCGGGGCCGGGCCCCTGTTTGGCCGGTGCCCGGTCCTTAGCCTGAAGGTGGCGGGCTTCCGCCAGAAGCCCCTGGCGGAAGCGGTGCCCGCGTGCGGGCCAGAGTGTGGGTGTGCAGGTCTCTGGGCGGCCCAAAGGGGGTGCCCCTGCCTGGTAACCTAGCGGGAGGGTGGGGACGGCGGGGAGGGCGGCGGGCGCGGGGCACGGCTCCGCTGCTCAGGGCAGGCTCCGCCCCCAGGGGCGCGGATTTAAAAGGATCGAAGGCAGCCCCGGAGCCCAGCGGCCGGGAAGCGCGCCCGAACGAAGCCGCGGCCCGGGCACAGCCATGGCCCGGCGGGCGGGGGGCGCTCGGATGTTCGGCAGCCTCCTGCTCTTCGCCCTGCTCGCTGCCGGCGTCGCCCCGCTCAGCTGGGATCTCCCGGAGCCCCGCAGCCGAGCCAGCAAGATCCGAGTGCACTCGCGAGGCAACCTCTGGGCCACCGGTAAGTCTTTGGGGACGGAGCAAGCAAGCGCCCCTCATCCAGTTCAGACCCCATTTCCTTCTCAACCCTCTGGCCGCTCCTCAGCCACGGACACTAGTGTCGGAGCAGGTGGAAAACCCTGGGGCTCATCTAATTTAATAGATATGTACTTGAGACCCGGACAGGTCAGTGACTTGGCTAAGGTCGCGCAGCCAGTTTAAGACAGGGCTGGGCTAGATCCTAAATCCCACTGCCAGCCGGTGCCCCTTACCTTAGGCGAGACTTAACCGAATCTTCTAACCGCTGGTGTGTTTTTGCTGCACCTCCACTTTCCAGGCGCCTCTTCACTCTCCACTTCCTACCCTGCCCTTTTTCGTCCCTTGTCCAAGCAGCCCACACAACTAGCAGAGTTTCTCCCTGGCCCTGGACCATCCCACCTTCCTGCCAGCTGTGCCATCCTCTCTACCTGTTCAGGAAAAGCTGAGGGAGCAGGCTTTGCCACCACCCAGACACCTTTGTGGCTCCTTGGTGAGGTGGAAGCACCAAGAGGAGGAAGGTTAAGTGTCTTCCCGCTACAAGAACGGAAACGTGGGAGAGATGAGGAACTTTTCCTCTGAGGTAGGATCCTGGCTGCTTGACTTCCTTGTGCCTGGACACCTCCTTTCCAGGTCACTTCATGGGCAAGAAGAGTCTGGAGCCTTCCAGCCCATCCCCATTGGGGACAGCTCCCCACACCTCCCTGAGGGACCAGCGACTGCAGCTGAGTCATGATCTGCTCGGAATCCTCCTGCTAAAGAAGGCTCTGGGCGTGAGCCTCAGCCGCCCCGCACCCCAAATCCAGGTGAGCCGGGCCCCTGCTCCAATGTCAGGAGGGCCCAGCTGGGGCCATCCCCGGATCCTGCATGGGAGGAATTACCACCCAGTACTGTATTAGGGTGTGACTGTCTGACTAGGACATTATGGGTGTGGACCCCAGAAAGCCAGGTTTCCAGGCTTTTCCCTCTTGAGGCAGAGCTCAAAGGAGGAACAGTCCAAAGAAAGGAAGCTGACCTTCCCAGTAGACCCCATGGGGCAAGAAGTAGGGAAAGAAGTTCCCCTGACTCATCACCCAGTCTAAAGTAACAGACTGGGATCATCAGCCTTTTGGAGCAGGACCTTTCTCCCCCAGTCTACACAGTCTTGTCCCACCCATGCTGTTCCCTGCTGCATTAGTCAAGTCCACCTTTGCTGTGTCCTGTGTATGCTTGTGGCCGGAATGGGACCCTGAGGCCCAGAGAGGGAAAGAGAAGTCAGCAGCCAAGACAGAGTCTGGACCTTGTTCACCTGGACTGGAGCTCTTCCCATTCTCTCATCTGCCTCAGTATCCAGTGGTAGGGTTTAGCAACTTCAGTACATTTGACGTTCTAGGCTGAATCACTGTTTCTTGTGAGGGCTGACGTGTGCATCATGGGATGTTTGGCAGCATCCCTGGTCTCTACATACTAGATGCCAGTAGCATCTTTCCCCCCCATCAAGTTGTGACAACTGAAAAGACCTCCAGACATCACCAGATGTCTGCTGGGGGAGAGGGCCCCAAATCATTATTGGTTGTCAGTCACTGATCTATGGGATTCAAGACTCCAAAGCTGGAGCCAAGCTAGCCTCAAGGTATAGCCCCGCTGAGTGGCAACTCCTTCATTCCCTGCTCCTGGTGCTGTCCTTACTGCACACCACCCTCCCTGGTCCTGCTGCTGTGTGCAGAAGGCAGTGTGATGTGGTAGAATGTGGGTTTTGACTACAACGTGCTGGGCTCATAACCTAGCTACTTAGTAGCTGTATGACCTTAGAAATGTCCCTTAACTTCTCTAAAGCCTCAATATTCTTCACCCATAAAATGAAGATAATAAGGCCCATCTCCCATTAAATGAGACCATTTATGTCAAATGCTCAGCATGGTGCCTGGCTCATAGACAGCCCTTAGTAGATGCGAGCTCTTATCAGTCTGTGAGCTCCCTGGCGGCACCTGTTGTAGACTCGCCTTCATATCCCCCAGTGTGCCTAGCATATAGTGTGTGCATTTTGAAGGGAGAGGCATTCCCTAGAAAAGGTCCAACCCAGCCTCAACCAACATCCCTGACTTCCTGAGGCACAGAACCAGCAGCCCCTGAGGACCTCAGATGTAAGGCCTAGGAGCTTGGGCTGGCTGAGTCTGAAGGGAAACAATGTCACCTCTAATGCCCTTGGTTTTGAAGCTCTGACACATGCAGACCAACTAGAGAATCTCAGAAGCAGCAGTGCCTACGTCTGGGGCTTCAGAGTGAGGTCTGGGGCAGAGCTGGGGTGGGGGAGTGAGGACGCTGACACTAGCCCAGCACCAAGCACTGTATTTGGATTTTCTTCCACGATCTTCTTTGACTGTCATGACCACCCTGGGTGGTTGGGGCTGTGTTCTGAGAAAACTACTGCCCCGACCCCTCCAAGGCAATTCAGGGTGCTCTGGGGCCTGCCTCAGCTGACAGCCTGCTGGTGCCCACCTCTGCAGACATCTGGCACTTAGGAATGGCAGGATGCCCCTATCTTTATCAGGAGCCCCTCCCTGGCTCAATTCTTCTGTATGTTTCTCTTCAGTACAGGAGGCTGCTGGTACAAATACTGCAGAAATGACACCAATAATGGGGCAGACACAACAGCGTGGCTTAGATTGTGCCCACCCAGGGAAGGTGCTGAATGGGACCCTGTTGATGGCCCCATCTGGATGTAAATCCTGAGCTCAAATCTCTGTTACTCCATTACTGTGATTTCTGGCTGGGTCACCAGAAATATCGCTGATGCAGACACAGATTATGTTCCTGCTGTATTTCCTGCTTCCCTGTTGAATTGGTGAATAAAACCTTGCTCTTTACATACAATGCCTGGTCCTCTCCTTTCACCCGTCTTTTAGGGGATGGGAGGAAAAGGGGGCTGGAGGGCAGAGTGTTCAGTGAGATGGGGCTGGCTCAAAAAGTCCAGAATACCCCATGCCATGGCACCAGCCTGGCACTGACTCTGGCCTCCTACCCATTCATTCAGCAAGCAAATAACGCCTGTTGCATGCCAGGCTTCGTGCCAGGCGCGGGGTTCTACTCTCATCTCTGCCACCTACTGGCGCAGGCAAGTGTCACTAGTTTCCTCGCTAGTAAAAGGGGGCTGCAGACACTACACTGCCGGGCTTTACTCAATACCCCCGCCGGACTTGGAGGGGAGCGCCGAGTTGGGATCCAGACCCTGCCGGCCGCTTCCTCTCTTCTCTGGCCGTCAGAAGGGTTGCCAGCGTTAGCAAATAAAAATACTGGACACCCAGTTAAATTCGAATTTCAGATAAACAATAATTTTATCTAATAAAATGTACCAAATATTGCATGAACATACTCGTAAGAAAGAAATTATTCACCGTTTTTCTGAAATTCGAATTTAACCGGGCGGTCCTGTATTATTTCTGGCCTTGGAGCATTCATTGCCCCTCTCTTGGGCTGCAAACACCTGGCCCTAAAACGGGCGATCATTTGGTCCTCAGGTCCTGCTTGGAGCTGACAGCGGGAAAGTCCCGATTTCAGGTCACTTTTCCCGGAGCTTTCGCGGAGAAAACCCGTAACCCACCCATGCCGGGCCGCAGCTCAGCCTGTTAACCCCGCCCCTAACGGGAGGCCCTGCCCACATCTCGCGAGAGCCGCGCGGCCCCCGAAGGCTCGCAGGCGGAAGTGAGACGCCGGAAGCGGTCGTTGCCATGGATCCTGGGGACGACTGGCTGGTGGAATCCTTGCGCTTGTAAATCGTACGGGGCTGGGACATGGGAGCTGGGCCTGGAGCTTGCCTGGCGGGCGGATGGGTGTGGGTGGAGGCACGTTGGGGATCCTGGTGCAGAGTGGGCCAGCTGTGGCCTCGGGGCTCGCCACCGTGGAGGACTCCGCCTGGGCCTAGGCCCCCATCTCTAGGAAATGGCTCCTTCCTGCGTGCGCGCGTTGTGAGATTACTAGTAAGAGCCGCGCTTGTGAAGACGCAGTGCCCAGTTAGTTTGCGCCAGCCTCTGAGTTCAGCTCAGAACACAGATGATCTCATTGATTCCTCACGTCAACCTTGGGAAATCTGGGTACCCTGGGACGTCCACACATGAGGACCGAGGCTCAGGGACATCAAGGGACTGGCCTGGTCCCAGAAACAGGGAGTAAAATGGGAAGTAAACTCAGTCCCACGTCTGCCTGACTCCAGAGTTTGGGCCACTGAACCATGCGGCTGCCATCTTGGAGTTCTTTGAGCTGTGAAGTGCTGTGCATCGTGTGATTCTGTGTCCCTTTTGTGCAGGTACCAGGATTTCTATGCATTCGACCTGTCAGGAGCCACTCGAGTCCTTGAATGGATTGATGACAAAGGTGGTATACCTTTCTAGCCCTGAAGGAGAGGGAATCTCACTCCTGAGCTGGGTTTCAGGAGCTAAGCCTAGAGGGACCCAACCCACTCTTCTGGGCACCTGAGAGTCACTTGTAGCAATTTGATGCCCCATCAGCACTAATATTCCTCTTATTAAGATCTCTGACCGGGAGCAGTGGTTCACGCCTGTAATCCCAGCACTTTGGGAGGCCGAGGCAGGCGGATCACCTGAGGTCAGGAGTTCGAGACCAGTCTGGCCAACATGGTGAAACCCCGTCTCTACTGAAAATACAAAAATTAGCCGGACGAGGTGGTGCACACCTGTGTACCAGCAGCTACTGGGGAGGCTGAGGCAGGAGAATCACTTGAACCCAGGAGGTGGAGGTTGCAGTGAGCTGAGATCACGACACTGTATTCCAGCGTGGCTAACAAAAAAAGTCTTCAGGCTGGGCACTTCAGGAGGCTGAGGCAGCGGGCAGATTGCTTGATCCCAGGAATTTGAGACTAACCTAAGCAAGGAAACCCTGTCTCTACAAAAAATACAAAAATTAGCCGAGCATGGTGGCTCACGCCTATAATCCCAGCTACTCTGAAGGCTGTGGTGGGAGGATCACTTGAGCCTGGCAGGTTGAGGCTGCAGTGAGCTGTGATCGGACCACTGCACTCCAGCCTGGCTGACACAGCGAGACCTTGTCTGAAAAAGACACAACCAGGTACTCAATTCCTCCATACAAGGCTGCACAGTGAAGGAATGTATCCTTACTTCGGGGGATTGCATGGTCTGCAATCTTTCTAACAATTTGTGACAGCTACCTCTGCTTCTTTTTCCAGGAGTCTTTGTTGCTGGCTATGAAAGCCTGAAAAAGAATGAAATTCTTCATCTGAAATTACCTCTCAGACTTTCTGTAAAGGAAAACAAGGTAACTTAAAATATAAATGCTGAGTATGTCAACTTTTATTTATTTATTAAACATTTGTGGAGCTCCTGTTATCTACCAGGTATTGTCCTGGATACTAGAAAGAGAGAAAGCGCTAGGCCTGCCCTTCTAGTCTAACAGAGGGAGGCACATATGCACAGAGATAAATGCTGTAGAATGTCTCGTGGTTTACAGAGGGCTATCAGAGGAGGAGGTCAGTTATACTTTATCAGAAATAGATTTAGGGAGCGATTAAGGATATAGAGGGCGGTCGAAATGCGTAGAGTGATTAAAGTCACCTAGTGAATGTGTGGTATATAAGGAGTGAGGAGAATATAGTGAGGACGGAACCTCAGGGAACACATTTAAGGGATGAGTACAGGAAGATGCACCCCCCCTCCCCAAAGAATACTAAGAAAGAACAGCCTCTGAGGTAAGAGGAATCTCAGAAAAGGTCAATGTTTCTGAAGCCAAGAGAAGAGAACTTCTCAAGAAAAAAAGAGTTAGTAGCTGTCTAGAGTTCCAATAAAATCATTGAGAGAAGAATTGAAGGCCAGGTGCAGTGGCTTACGCCTGTAATCCCAGCACTTTGGGAGGCCGAGTTGGGCGGATCATGAGGTCAGGAGTTCGGGACCATCCTGACCAACATGGTGAAACCCCGTCTCTACTAAAAATACAAAAATTAGCCAGGCATGGTGGCGCACACCTGTAATCCCAGCTACTCAGGAGGCTGAGGCAGGAGAATTGCTTGAACCCGGGAGGCGGAGGTTGTAGTGAGCTGAGATCGTGCCACTGCACTCCAGCCTGGGCAACAGCAAGACTGCATCTCAAAAAAAAAAATCATTCAGATGAGGAATTGAGTTCATTCATAAGACTGGCAATTGGGAAACTCTTGGTGACCTCTGCTACAGGATTTTTGCTGGTGGTGGTCAGGCCCAAAGACTAAAAATGAAGAGGAAGCAGAGTCACGAAATGTAGGGAGGGAAGAAGCTAAAGCAGCAACTAGTCGGAAACACAGATCTGAGGGAAGGTTTCCTAAACACAGAGGCTTGAGCAGAGTTAGAAGCTATGGGAAAGTAACCCTTGAAGAGGGAGAGGGTGAAAATGAGGGAATATCACAGGGAACACGCTCCTGCTTCCAGGAATAGAAGGTGAGGATAGATCAGGAGTCCAGGGGATGGTATTAGTCATCAGAGGACAAGGGAGGAGTGAGGCATGCAGGCAGATGACCTTGAAGGGCCATGTGGGGGCAGGAATTTGAGTGTTTGCTCCTGAATTCCTTTTTGTTTTGAGACAAGGGCTTGCTCTGTCACCCAGGCTGGAGTGCAGTGGCGCGATCCCTGGCTCACTACAGTCTAAACCTCCCAGGCTCAAGTGATCCTCCCGCCTCAGCCTCCCAAGTAGCTGGGACTACAGGCATGTGCCACCATGCTTGGCTAATTGTTAAATTTTTTTGTAGAGATGAGGTTTCACTGTGTTGGCCAGGCTGGTCTCGAACGCTTGGCTTCAAGTGATCCGCCTGCTTCGGCCTCCCAAAGTGCTGGGATTACTGGCATGAGCCATCACTCCTGGCCCCAAACTTCTTAAAAAAATTTTTTTTTTTTTTTGAGGTCTCACTCTGTCACCTAGGCTGGAGTGCAGTGGCGCGATCTCAGCTCACTGCAACCTCTGCCTCCTGGGCTCAAGCCATCCTCCCACTTCAGCATCCCGAGTAGTTGGGACCACAGGCATGTGCCACCACACCTGGTTAATTTTTGTATTTTTTGGTAGGGACGGGGTCTTGCCAAGCTGTTCTCAAACTCCTGAGCTCAAGCAATCCTCCTGCCTCCCAAAGTGCTGGGATTCCAGGTGTGAACCACCGCACTTGGCCTTTTTTATTTTGTTTTGTTTTAAATTATTTAATGAAATAGGAAACAATCCGAGTGCGGTGACTCATGCCTGTAATCCCAGCACCTTGGGAGCGGGAGACCAACGTGGGCAGATCACTAGAGGCCAGAAGTTCAAGACCAGCCTGGCCAACATGGTGAAACCCCATCTCTACTAAAAATAAAACAAATTTGGCCAGGCGCGTGGCTCACACCTGTAATCCCAGCACTTTGGGAGGCTGAGGTGGGCGGATCACAAGGTCAGGAGTTCGAGACCAGTCTGGCCAATATGGTGAAACCCCATCTCTACTAATAATACAAAAATTAGCCGGGTGTGGTGGCATGCGCCTGTAGTACCAGCTACTCAGGAGGCTGAGGCAGAAGAATTGCTTGAACCTGGGAGGTGGAGCTTGCAGTGAGCCAACATCAAGCCACTGCATCCAGCCTGGGTGACAGAGTGAGACTCCGTCTCAAAAAAAAGAAAAAGAAAAAGAAAATTAGCCGGGTGTGGTGGTATATGCCTTTAATCCCAGCTACTCAGGGGAGGCTGAGGCACCAGAGAATCCCTTAAACCCAGGAGGCAGAGGTTGCAGTGACCTGAGATGGCACCACTGCACTTCCAGCCTAGGTAACAGCATGACACTCCGTCTCACAAAAATAAGTAAATAAATTTATCTTAGGGCCTCACCATGTTATGGAGTTGAGTCTAATTGTTTAGAAGAGAAGAGGCTAAGAGGCTAGACAAGGACATAGAAAAACATTGTTCAGCCTGGGAGAGGCTAGATCCCATGCAGATGTGGCCCAGTTTTTATCAAAGTAGCCTGAGGACCACCCTACCAGGGCCATTAGGAGTGCTGGCTAAAATGCATATTCCTAGCATACTTCCCAAACATACTGAATTATAATCTCAAGAGGGAAAGCTTAGGAAAAATGCCAAGTTTGTAGACTGACATGGTGACTCACACCTGTAATCCCAGCACTTTTTGAAGCTGAGGCGGTGGACTGCTTGAGCCTAGGAGTTCAAGTCCAGCCTGGACAACATGGCAAGCCCATCTCTTCACAAAATTTAAAAAGTTAAAAAAGACCAGGTGTGGTGGCTTATGTCTGTAATCCCAGCACTTTGGGAGGCTGAGGCAGGCGGATCACCTGAGGTTGGGAGTTCGAGACCAGCCTGGGCAACATGGCAAAACCCTGTCTCTACTAAAAATACAAAAATTAACTGGGTGTGGTGGTGCACACCTGTAGTCCCAGCTACTCAGGAGGCTGAGGCAGGAGAATAGCTTAAACTGGGGAGACAGAGGTTGCAGTGAGCCAAGATCACGCCACTGCCCTCCAGCCTGGGCTACAGAGTGAGACTCTGTCTCAAAAAAAAGTTAAAAAAAAAAAAAAAGCCAAATTTGTACTCATAAAACCCAGAGGCTACAGAAGCTATAGGGTAGCACCTAGTGTTCTTCATCTTCCCCATCTCCAGTCAGGCTTGAGTCAGGGGTTCACCCAGACTGAGCCTAGCTGTGAGAACTGATTTAACCTCCCCGCTCACCACCAGCTTTGCCTTGTTTCTTCTATGGCCACCTCCTTTTCCCTTGCCTCTGGTTCCTTACATGGAGATAGTAGAGCCTAGTGGCTAACAGTGTGGACTTGGGTTAGACAGACTTTGGTTCAAATTCACAACTTAATACTTGTATGACCTTATATAAGTGGCTGAAGCTCCTTGTGCCTTAGTTGTGTCATTTGTAGAATAGGGATAATTATAGTACCTATATCATAGGAGGTTGTAAGAATTAAATGTGATAAAGCCCTAAACACTGCGCCTGACACAGTGAATACTGATAAGTTGTAATTGTTAATTTTTATCGTTAGAGGAACCCACCTGACTTCCAGCGGGAGAATGGAGGGAGAAATGGGGATGTGTTCATTGCTCTCTTTGATGAAGCTGTTAAGCTTCTCTGGCTTCTCTAGGAAGGCCTGGAGTATAATGCTTGTGCTGTAGTAAAAGGGGCTAGTGAAAGGCTAGGAGAAGGGTTTTGGATGTGCAAAGGAAAAAGGAAGCTGTACGTGTAGGCAGCTGAGACCAACATTGCCAAATACCAGGACACCAACGCCCTTTCACCAGCTGAGTGGCTTCCATGGCCTCCTGCCAGGCTAGGACCTGACTCCTCACTTAGAGTTCCTCTGAAATGTTCATTTGAAGAGCTGGCTCTGATTGGCTACTCCTTTGTATTTTAGGGCTTATTCCCAGAAAGAGATTTCAAAGTGCGCCATGGAGGATTTTCAGACAGGTCTATCTTTGATCTAAAGCATGTGCCACATACCAGGTATGGTCAATTTTGTGATCCAGCCATCCACACAGGATGGGATGGGATGGCTGCAAATGCCTGGGGGTATTCTGCCTCCTCATCTCCATTCCCACCCCCTCAGCACACAGGCACATGTGAGTGCACAAGTGTGTGCACACAGATACACACAGATTTAGAATACAAAGAAACCACTGCTGTGGCTTCATAGCCCCCCAGAGCCCTTGGACTAATGTAAGTAACAGTTCTACCGGAGTTGCTCCAGGGAATAGATACGGGACAGAAAGATGCTCTTCTATTGCTCTTGGGTGATAATTGCTCAGTTGGGAGAGGCCAAGAGTCTCTGGGTCAGGTTGTGTTTGGCCCCATACTTGTGTCCTCTGTAGGTGACCATCATGACACATGGAAGCTTGGGCTCAGTCTCCCTAAAGTTGATTGAGCCTGCTCCTTATCTGTGAAATGAGGGTGGTTGGCCTTGATGATCTTGCAGTAAGATGTCCTGATATGGGAAGTGGAGTCCCAAGCTAAGTGTGCTGGAAAGGGGAAGGGACCTGTGTGGATAAGCTCCCCATGGTCTGGACTGATTTTGTCTTTTCTGAATAGATTGCTGGTTACCAGTGGCCTTCCAGGTTGTTATCTGCAGGTGTGGCAGGTTGCAGAGGACAGTGGTGAGTGAATTTGACTTGATGGGGTTTGGGGTTCTAGGAAAGTGTGACTCATACACCCCTGTCCCCTAATCTGAGCCAGTTAAGAAGGAGACTCAGGCTGGGGACAGTCTCATGCCTGTAATTGTAGCACTTTGGGAGGCTGAGCTGGGTGGATCACTTGAATTCAGGAGTTGAAGACCACCTTGTACAACATGGTGAAACCTGTCTCTATTAAAAATACAAAAAATTAGCCGGGCATGGTGGTAGGCACCTGTAATCCCTGCTACTGGGGAGACTGAGGCAGGAGAATTGCTTGAACCTGGGAGGCGGAGGTTACAGTGAGCCGAGATCATGCCACTGCACTCCAGCCTGGGCAACAAGAGCAAAACTCCGTCTCCAAAAAAAAAAGTAGTAGTAGACTCAGAGCCAGGTGGGAATTAATCTACTTTAATGCAGACAAGGTGAATTAGCAACCATAGCATGGCATCCAAGCCCCAAATGGAGCTTCCTGTAACCTGCTCCTGGAATTGAGTTCATCCAGAGAACTACTCTCCCTAGGCAGGGGCAGTGGCAACAGCAGAGCTTAGGCTGCTCAGGTGAGCTCACCTCTTTGGCAGCATTAAGCATATATTAAGAGAAGCCTCAGATGTAGAATACAGAGAGGAGAACCTCCCTGCTAACCAAGCAGGTGGAGACAACCAAATAAAAACTAAAACTTGGCTGGGCGCAGTGGCTCATGCCTGTAATCCCAGCACTTTGGGAGGCCAAGGTAGGTGGGTCACCTGACCAGGAGTTTGAGCCCAGCCCGAGCAACATGGCGAAACCCCGTCTCTACTAAAAATACAAAAAAATTAGCTGGGCATGAGGGTGCACATCTGTAATTCCAGCTACTCAGGAGGCTGAGGCAGAAGAATTTCTTGAACCTGAGAGGCGGAGGCTGCAGTGAGCTGAGATTGTGCCACTGGACTCCAGCCTGGGCAACAGAGTGAGACTCTGTCTCAAAAAAACAAAAGAACCAAAACAAAACTTGACTCAAAGCCAAGGATGTTCCATTCAGTGTAAAAAAGATGTGGACTTTCTTGTCCACCTTACAAGACAATGACATCTGTAATGTGACCTGTACTTGCTAGGCTTTAGCAAGTCACTCGAGGTCATGGAACATGTTTTTGAAGAAATAATATCAGTTCATGAATTCTGTACCTGTTTCTTGTCGCTGAAGGGGTAAGTGACATCAGCAGCATGTTCATTCCTTTTCTTGTCTTCTACCTGTTCTCCACAAAAGTATAAAAAGCCAGAATTGCTTTTTGGGTTTTGAGATGGCATTGTCTTCCATTTGCAAAAAACAGTTTATAAGACAAATAATAAAGAAATTGAAATGTTTCTGATGGTTTCAAAAATGTAAACATAAGCCAGAGTAGTTATGTCTCAACATCATCTCTTGCCAGCCGGCAGCTCCTTTTCTTCCTTGATCTTCTAAATGTACAGGGGAAGACAGCTGGCAGCCTGTCATGTTTCAAACCTTCATTAAAGTTCTGGATTTTGGCCTCTTCGTTTTCCCCTAGATGTCATTAAAGCTGTCAGCACCATTGCTGTGCATGAGAAAGAGGAGAGTCTCTGGCCTAGGGTGGCCGTCTTCTCCACATTGGCACCCGGAGTCCTCCATGGGGCGAGGCTCCGAAGTCTGCAGGTCGTTGATCTGGAGTCCCGGAAGACCACGTACACCTCAGGTACCGTGGTACTTTGTCCCTTGCTTGCTGCTCCAGCCGGCATCACCCCCCAGCCCAACTCAGCCACTATAAAAACTGAGTTCAACTCTCTGTGCCAGGTGTTGGGGATACACAGTGAATAAGAGGTAAGCCCTGGCCTCTAAGGGCTCCTATGCTGGGGCAGGATTAGGCAGTCCCAGGGACCAGCACCCAACCAGCTGAGCAGACAATGGTGAGATGAGTGGGAAGGGAGATGTGATTTATTCTGCCTGGGACTGGTGGGAAGGGACCTGTGACCAGCCAGCCCTGCCAAATTGCCAGACCCATCTGCCTCCAGCCGCTTGTCTCCTTTGCTGTCGGTCTTCCAGATGTCAGTGACAGTGAGGAGCTGAGTAGCCTGCAGGTCCTAGATGCAGACACCTTTGCCTTCTGCTGTGCTTCAGGCCGGCTGGGGCTTGTTGACACCCGGCAGAAGTGGGCACCGTTGGAGAATCGCAGCCCTGGCCCTGGGTCTGGTGGAGAGAGATGGTGTGCTGAAGTTGGGAGCTGGGGCCAGGGCCCTGGGCCCAGCATTGCCAGCCTTGGCTCAGATGGGCGTCTTTGTCTTCTTGACCCCCGGGATCTCTGCCATCCTGTGAGCTCAGTCCAGTGCCCAGTATCCGTACCTAGCCCTGACCCAGAGCTGCTGCGAGTGACTTGGGCCCCAGGCCTGAAGAATTGCTTGGCCATCTCAGGTACTGCCGAGCAGGATTTCGTCTTGTTATCTGATCTCTTTCTTCCAGGAGACTGTTGGGTGCTCAGGAAGGAGCCTCCAGCACCATGATAAACCTGGCTCCAGGAGTTAAAGTTGCTCACAGAGAAATTCGAACTCTCCAGGTTCTTCAGTGGCAGGCCTTTTCCTACCCTGGCTACTAAACTTCCACACATTGGCAGCAGGCCTTTCCTAGCCTAGCAGGAATTCAGGTCTCAGGTTGGTGGAGGGGCCTGCAGACAGTAAGACACTGGGACAGACATCGGGCTGGGTCAGAAAGAAAAGGGGACAGTGGCTAACACGGTGAAACCCCGTCCCTACTAAAAATACAAAAAATTAGCCAGGCATGGTGGCAGGCGCCTGTAGTCCCAGCTACTTAGGAGGCTGAGGCAGAAGAATGGCGTGAACCTGGGAGGCGGAGCTTGCAGTGAGCTGAGATTGCACCACTGCACTCCAGCCTGGGCAACAGAGCGAGACTGTCTCAAAAAGAAAAAAAAAGAAAAAAAAAAAAAAAGCAGCAGGGACAGCACCTCAAGGGTACTTCTCAGCCTACTTGCCTTTTGAAATGTAGCAAGTTGGCCGGGTGCGGTGGCTCACACCTATAATCCCAGCACTTTGGGAGGTCGAGGCGGGTGGATCACAAGGTCAGGAGATCGAGACCATCGTGGCCAACATGGTGAAACCCCGTCTCTATGAAAATAAAAAAAATTAGCCGGGTGTTTTGGTGCACGCCTGTAGTCCCACCTACTTGGGAGGCTGAGGCAGGGGAATCGCTTGAACCCGGGAGTCAGAGGTTGCAGTGAGCTGAGATGACGCCACTGCACTCCAGACTGGCGACAGAGCAAGACTCTGTCTCAAAAAAAAAAAAAAAAAAAAAAGTAGCAAGCCAGCTAGGTCAGCAGGCCCCTGGTTCTGGTCTGGTGGTAGCTAGTTGCTTGCGGCACTTAATGTGGGTATCTAAAAGCCAACAGGAAGGATCCGTCGAGGCAGGTGGGGGTTGAAAAAAATCATTAAGAGAGCAAGAAAGGATGATTGGAAATGCCAGGATCCAGAAAGAACAGAAGAGCCAAGCTCAGGTAGAGGGGCTGGCTCTTCAGTACCAGGAAGATGGCAGGATGGAATGAGTGTGTGTGCAGCTAGATCGTGCAGGGACGTGAAGGTATTTCTCTCCAAAGGCTTCTGTTTCCCCCATCGAGTAGGAGACAAGGCCATCTGCTGAAAGGGACCCAGAGGTAGGGGACTGGACTCTGGGGCAACTTGAAAAGGTTTGAAGAAGTCTCTTAAGCCTCAGTTTCCTGGGTAAAATAACAGTATCTGTGTCATACAGTTCTGAGGATTAAAAGAGCTAATACTTGTCCAGAATTAGCCTTCGAGCCTCACGCATAACAGGTGCACAACGGATGCTCATGGTTACATGCCCCACGGAGTCATCAGCTGCCAACACTGAGGGCAGATGCTACTTGCCCGTGGTTAGCCTTTTAAGTGCCTTGATTCCTCATCCAATAGCCTGTTTTGGTACCATAGAACAAATTATAAAAAGTATTTTAGGGGCTGGGTGCCTGTAATCCCAGCATTTTGGGAGGCTGAGATGGGAGGATCGCTTGAGGCTAGGAGTTCAAGACCATCCTGGTCAACATGGTGAAACCCCATCTCTATTAAAAATAGAAAGAAAATTATTTTAAAATAAAATTAGGGACTCATTGTCAAGCCTCTCTTTTCTGTATTCTCAGGTTTTGATGGTACAGTCCAGGTCTATGATGCCACATCTTGGGATGGAACACGGAGCCAAGATGGAACACGGAGCCAAGTAGAACCTCTCTTCACTCACAGAGGTCACATCTTCCTAGATGGAAATGGGATGGACCCTGCTCCTTTGGTCACCACCCACACCTGGCATCCCTGCAGACCAAGGACTTTGTTATCAGCAACAAATGATGCCTCTCTGCATGTGTGGGACTGGGTGGACCTTTGTGCCCCCCGCTGACACCAGCATCTTTCCATCTAGGCCTCTAGAAAGGGGAGGAGCTGCTGTAGTAGCAAGGGTGCTCATGTAGGACTCAAGTGACTACCAGTCCCTGTTACCAGCTGTGTGGCCTTGGGCAAGTCTGCCAGCGTCACTTAGCCTCAGTTTCCTTATCTGTAAAATGAGGATAGTAAGAACTACCTCGTAGTGATATTGCGAAGGTTAGAAGAAACGCATGGCATAATTACTTGGTAGCTATTGTTAGATCTGGGAGTGTGAAATGGTAGCGTTTTGTCCCTGTCTTCACACTATCATAGGGAGAATCAAAAGAGCTAACAAATATAAACATGCTTTGTGAATTTTTTTAAAGAAAAAAATGTAGAGGGGCCAATAAACATGAAAAAATCCCAGCCCTAGTAGCAATTAAGGAAATAGCAAAACAGGATTTCTGCTCCTCTTGAGTGGGTCTCATGGGAACACAGGTGCACTTTCCCACACTTGTCCCCCCAGGTGACTAGGTTCAAGAGACATTTGCTTTTGGTGGCCCCACAAACATTTCCTTTTGAGGGCCCATAGTGAATATTAAAGTGTGCTGGACATGGTGGCTCATGCCTGTAATCCCAGCACTTTCAGAGGCTGAGGTGGGCAGATTGCTTGAGCTGAGGAGTTTGAGACCAGCCTGGGCAACATAGCAAGATCCCTTCCCTTAAAAAAAAAAAAAAATTTGGCTGGGCATGGTGGCTCATGCCTGTAATCCCAGCAATGTAGGCAGCCAAGACAGGTGGATCACTTGAGTCCAGGAGTTCGAGACTAGCCTGAGCAACATGGCGAAACCTTGTCTCTACTAAAAATACAAGTTAGCTGGTTGTGGTGGTATGAGCCTGCAGTCCCAGCTATTCAAGAGGCTGAGGTGGGAGGGTTGCCTGAGCCTGGCAGTTGAAGTTTGCAGTGAGCTGTGATCATGCCACTGTATTCCAGCCTGGGCAACAGAATGAGACCCTGTTACACACACACACACAAAATAGATAAGTTGTTCACTCTGTCAGCATCTATTAGCCCTTCCCATGTGCAACACTAATTACATGCTAGAAATACATAAATGAGAGGCTTCCTAAGGTGGTTGAATTTTTTTTTTTTTTTTTTTTGTAGTAGAGATGGAGTCTTGCTCTGTCACCCAGGCTTGAGTGCAGTGGCGTGATCTCGGCTCACTGCAACCTCCACCTCATGGGTTCAAGCAATGCTCCTGCCTCAGCCTGCCAAGTAGCTGGGATTACAGGCACGTACCACCATGCCCAGGTAATTTTTGTATTTTTGGTACAGACGGAGTTTCACCATGTTGGCCAGAATGGTCTTGATCTCTTGACCTTGTGATCTACCCACCTCGGCCTCCCGAAGAGCTGGGATTACAGGTGTGAGCCACCGCGCCCGGCCAGGGGATTTCTCCTGTGTGAATTCGCTGGTTAAGTGATAATTAACTGCAGTTAAAATTCAGGTCAAGCATGTGGCTCATGTCTGTAATCCCAGTACTTTGGGAGGCTGAGGTGGGAGGATAGCTTGAGTCCAGGAGGAGTTCGAGATCAGCCTGGGCACCATGGTGAACCCCTGTCTCTAAAAAAAAAGAAAGATTTTTATTTAAAAAACCTAAACAAATTCAGATAGGAATTTAAAGATAGACCAGGCACAGTGGCTCACGCCTGTAATCCCAGCACTTTGTGGGGGGCCAAGGTGGGTGGATCACTTGAGGTCAGGAGTTCAAGACCAGCCTGGCCAACATGGTGAAACCCCGTCTCTACTAAAAATATAAAAATTAGAGACGGGCATGGTGGTGGCACACCTGTAATCCCCACTACTCAGGAGGGTGAGGCAGGAGAATTGCTTGAACCTGAGAGGTAGAGGCTGCAGTGAACCGAGATTGTGCCACTGCATTCCAGCCTGGGTGACAGGGTGAGACTCCATCTCAAAAAAAATAAAATAAAGATAAAATCATAAACACTCATAATTCAGTTATACCTTTTTTCAAGTAACTAAAGTTCAAACTTACTTAGGGGAACAGGCTTTCCTGGGTGCCACCTGCTTCTCAAGTCCTGTGCTTTCCACACCACAGAATAGTAAACTGGGTGCACTGAGTGCCTGGTTCCCCTCAGCCCTTAACCAGTGCTGGCTTGTCCGAGTTTAGAATCCCAGGGCTGACTTTGTTGGTGGAATGCTAGCTCCCATTCATTTCCCACCTGCACTGGACGTTTTCTGAATCTCCTTGAAGTCCGGGAGATCTTCATTCCAAAGCTCTTCACTTTTCTGCAGCATTGTGACCCCATCTGGCTGGGGAACTGGAAGTCCTGCTCAGAGAAAAGCAGGAGGGGACATGGAGTTCTGAAATTCACTTTCTGCTCCCATGTCTGGAAGTGACAGGTGAAATGAGAATGATAGTGCCTCTCAAGAAGGTCTAGTTCCCAGAAGAGAAAGTTTAATGACTCATTTTCCCCCTTTTACTCCTTTGAGGGTACAGGATAATGCCCTTATCTATTTTCATAATAATTATAATGATGATGATAATGAAAACTAACGTTTGCCAAGTGCTAATACTGTGTCAGGATCCTCATAACAGCCCAGGGAGGTAGAAACCATCACAATGTCCACTGTCCAGATGAGAAAATGGAGGCTAAGGGTATTTAAAGAGGTTGCCCAAGAACAACAAACCTTTTAAATGGCAGACTGGTGTGTATAATCTACGCAGGGTTCACATCTATGGAACACTTTATTTTAAATTCTTTTAATAATATTATTATTTTTCAGCTGAGTCTGGGTCTCACTCTGTCGCCCAGGCTGGAATGCAGTGGCATGATCACAGCTCACTGCGGCCTCCAACTCCTGGGCTCAAGTGATTCTCCTGCCCCAGCCTCCCGAGTAGCTGGGACTACAGGCTTGCGCCACCATGCCCGGCTTATAGGGCACTTTAGATGGAAACAAATGACTGGATCTTTAACTCCTACCTTTCTCTCCTCTCTTCCTGTAATGTTGTTACTGAAGGCAGGAAGGGAGACTCCTTGGCTAAAGAGCAGAGCAAGAGCCTCAAAGTGGTCTTTGTGAGCCACCCTGGACTACTGGTTCAGTAGAGGGTTGAGTCAAGCAATATTTGAGGACGGGATATAAACAGTATTTCTTAAAGTTGTCACCAATTTTTCCCCCGATGAGGCCATTCCAGACCCAAATTAGTCATAACAGAGCCAGGACAATAATCACATCTCCTGATTCTGAGCCTGAATGCTTCCCACAGGACTGCGTCGCTCCCACTGCTCTGAGGTCCATTGTGGGGGAGAGTTGCCACTGGGATTCCACCTCAAGGCCTGGGGACCAAGCCTCCAGGATTCCTCTTGAGACTCCTCCACTATTTCATTACCATCCCGCCACATCTTCTAGTGCTATGCCCTGGTTCCCTTTGGAATCCTCTCAATCCCAAAGAAGGCCTCCTACCACCTCTAAGGCATCAAAGGTGTTAGAAAGTGCCCCAAGACTCAACAGGGCATCCATCTCATCATAGAAGACACTGGTGCCTGGTGTGTAGGTGCTCCTGGCTTTGCAGTAGTCGGTCAGGAGGTTTTTGAACCGATAGCAACATTGCTCCAGGGTCCACAGGAAGCCATGTTCTCACAGCTGCTCAGCCATAATCCGGTACACCTGGTGGTTTCGATGGCAGGTGCGGAGTTTTTCGTGGATCCAGGCCTCTGAGAATTCCCAGAAAAATCTTGGTTTCTTTGTATCCCCAGTGCACTCCTGCCACCTTCTCATCCTCCAGGGCCTGCCACTCCAGCTCGCTCCAGGTCTTGGCTTTTCTCCAGATTAGCACCTGGCCAGACTTGACTCTCACCCCAGCCACTGAGCAGTCTTTCACACTCTCTTTTTCTCCAGAATTTGAAGATCTAGATGCTGTGGGTTTTCATCCTACTCCACGTGGGAGTTCACTTTGGGCCTATGGATTGGAAAATCTGTTTGCAGGCAGACAAAAGGGAGATGTAATGGTTTGGTAAATCTAATCCCAACCATTTTATATGCCAGGGAGAGGAGATAGTAATTTTTTTTTTTTAATTCTGGGGGGATTCTTGGGAAAGCTCAGTGAAAAGAACAACTAGAAAAAAAAATTCAGGCCCAAATGCATAACTATATATCCACGTTCATCTATCTTAAATAAAATTCAGACACATACCTAAACTGACCATCTCCCTAAAATGAGCTTTCCTTTCTGGGTCAAGAAATTCATCCTTGGTGAAACTGACTATGGTATTGGATTTCCTTTGAGTAAGATTTAAGGAAGAAATAGATTTGAAATATTCAACCCAGGGGGAAAGGGTGGGAGCAGGGGGGTGAGGGATAAAAGACTACACACTGGGTACAGACTGAGGGGATAAAAGACTGCACACTGGGGCCCCGTGGTGGCTCAGGCCTGTAATCCCAGCACTTTGGGAGGCCGAGGCAGGCAGATTACTTAAGGTCAGGAGTTCAAGACCAGCCTGGCCAACATGGTGAAACCCCATCTCTGCCAAAAAAAAAAAAAAAAAATACAAAAATTAGCTGGGCGTGGTGGCACATCTCTGTAATCCCAGCGACTCAGGAGGCTGAGGCAGGAGAATCACTTGAACCCGGGAGGCAGATGTTGCAGTGAGTCAAGATCATACCACTCCACTCCAGCCTGGGTGATAGAATGAGACTCAGTCTCAAAAAAAAAAAAAAGAAAAAAACAAAGACTACACATTGGGTACAGACTTGATGGATAAAAAAGACTACCCTTGGGTGATGGGTGCACCAAAATCTCAGAAATCACCACTGAAGAACTTTTCCATGCAACCAAACACTACTTGTTCCCCAAACACTACTGAAATAAAAGTTTAAAAAAAATACGTAAGAACAGACATAGGGAAAAAGAAAAAAAATTCAACTTGAAAAAGGTCTGGAGTAGTGAATACTACAGAAACTCCATAGCTAACTTTGACTATGAAAAAAAAAAAAAGGCATTCTTACCCAGCGTGACCTCATTTTCAGAATTCTGCTGAGTTATTTCTAGGTGGTTCTTCAGTCCAGGTTCTGGATCCCTCCATGCCTCCTAGGAGATATACACAGCCGAATCACCAGGTGTCACTAGCTCCTGAGGAAACAACACCCCTTCTCAAAACACATGGCCTCAGAACAAAATGCCTCTCTAATGCCTGAGTCAGGGCAAGTGACACAACAGAAGAAATGAAACAGTGATTATTTTGGCTTTTAAATGCAATCAAGCGGGCAGGAGGAGACAGAAAAGAAACAAGCTGACATTATGCACTGAGCCAGAAGCTTCTCAGACTTGCCCAGAGTTACACAGCAAGTCCAGGGTATGGCTGGGAATTCAACTCAAGGCTGTTGGACTCTGAAGCTTTTGGTTTTTGTTTTTTTTCCTCCACTACACAGTACTGCATGCCATGTGAGCAAGATCCCGACACAGAATGAAGTAACCAGTATCTTTAAGGCAAACAAGCAGATCAGTAGAATCTGATGATTTCAGGGTCAAAGAAAAGAATAATTTTAATGCAATCCCTCATTACCACAGCCATGGCACTGGCCTCATATGGGTAAGGAGATTTGGGCAACCTTTTGCAGGCTGATGAAATTTTGGAGCCTAAATTGTAAAGTTACTGGGCCTCCCTGCTGGGTAAAATTCTTTTGGAATTTCTGAGCGGCAAGAGAGTTGGTTGCAGGAGCCCCACTTGGGTAGTAAAAGGTGACCTGAGGGGGATTGGGGGCTAGGGGAGGGAGAGCATTAGGAGAAATACCTAATGTAGACGATGGGTTGGTGGGTGCAGCAAACCACCATGGCACGTGTGTACCTATGTAACAAACCTGCATGTTCTGCACATGTACCCCAGAACTTAAAGTATAATAAAAAGAGAAAATTTAAAAAAAAAGAAATATAATCTGTAAAGACAAATGACTTAATCGTTTTCCCAAAAGGAGAAAACTGAGCTGTGCCTCAAGAGTTATATTTCTATTAAAAAAAAAAGAGAGAGAGAAAAGGTGATCTATATAAGAGAAATGGCTGACTCACCTGGGAGCTGCTCACTATCTCCTGGCCACCCCTGCTCTTCTCTGCAGGAATTCCCAGAGCCACATCAGGCAGGGCTGGGGGAAGAAAAGGGAGGCATTAGAGTACATGGCTCTCAGCTCCTCTTGGGGACTAGCCCAACTGGGTTCAGACACAGAACAGCCTTTCCTCCCCCTCTTAGTATCTGCTTTGTCCTATCAAAGGAAGGTTGGTGAAAAACCAAAATGAAACATTTCTTTTTTTTTTTTTTTTTGAGACGGAGTCTCACTCTGTCGCCCAGGCTGGAGTGCAGTGGCACAATCTCAGCTCACTGCAAGCTCCGCCTCCCAGGTTCAGGCCATTCTCCTGCCTCAGCCTCCTGAGTAGCTGGGACTACAGGTGCCCACCACCACACCCGGCTAATTTTTTGTATTTTTAGTAGAGACGGGGTTTCACTGTGTTAGCCAGGATGGTCTCGATCTCCTGACCTCATGATCCGCCCGCCTCTGCCTCCCAAAGTGCTGGGATTACAGGCGTGAGCCACCATGCCCAGCCAAAATGAAACGTTTCTAAAATGAAAGTTTTAGGTTTTCCCCTCCATATCCATCTAGGTACTGACTGTCAGGGTTTTATGATTTTGTTTTTCAGGTTTTTTGTTTGCTTTTTGTTTTTTTGAGACAGGGCCTCGATCTGTCGCCCAGGCTGGAGTGCAGTGGCGTGACCTTGGCTTACCGCAGCCTTAACCTCCTGGGCTCAGGTGATCCTCCCACCTCAGCCTTCTGAGTAGCTGGGACTACAGGTGCCTGCCACCATGCCCGGCTAATTTTTTTTTTTTTTTTTTTTGTATTTTTAGAGGAGACGGAGTTTCACCATATTGCCCAGGCTCATCTCTGAACTCCTGGGCTCAAGCAATCCACCCACCTCAGCCTCCAAAGTACTGGAATTACAGGCATGAGCCACCATAACTGGCCTTGTTTTTCAGTTTTGATAACACACCTGAGTCATCTAAATTGGTCTGGGGACACTTAACTGTTTTAAGGATTACTGCACCTTAGTTTAACCCTACCCTTTTGCCCTTCCCACCAACCAGACCTAAAATCTGTCTCCAACTGTAACCTATTGGGACCGGTAATCTCTGACTCACATAAGGAAAGGTGCTACAGGCTCCCCTATGTTGTTTTACAAAACATGCCAACCGAGGTCCTTCTTCACTTTGGAGGTGCCCATTTAGGATCCCAGAAATTCATGCGGTCAGCCTGAGGTCAACACACCAATCTTCTAAGTAGAAGGGAGCTGTACCTTCTACCCCACTTTCTGCACTCACAGAGTACTTCTATGCCCTCCCCACAGAAGGGTACTTCCTTCCTCCCCACACTGCTGCTACTTTTTTTTTTTTTAAATCTGATTTTGCACTTTTTTTTTTTTCTAAGCTAAACATCTTTCAGTACAGGTAAGAAGACTGGCATCACATCTGGGAAGTGCCTTAACAGATATCTGAGGAGTTACTGCACATTAAGTCGGTAACAACACACTTCGGTTTCAAGGCGTATGTAATCTTCCCTTGATGCTCTTCAACAGAGACAAGGTTCCTGTCTGTAGATCAAATAAATCACAGTATTAGGAAAAAAAATAACAGCAAATTTGGAAGTACAATCAACTTAAGGAGAAGCAAAGGAAAAGACTTAGAAATGGGACATTATTGTCTACATCTAGAGGATACATGTATCTGAAAGCTTAAGAAAGCCCTTATCTTAGGAACTTGAAGCTGAGGATAATCTCAAGTTCACTTAGTGCCAGTCACTTTAGTTTTTAAAAAAATTTAACTTAAACCCCAGCCTAGGCAACATGGTGAAACCCAGTCTCTACTAAAAATACAAAAATTAGCCAGGCATGGTGGTATGTGCCTGTAGTCCCAGCTAGTTGTGAGGCTGAGGCGGGAGGATTGCTTGAACCTGGGAGACAGTGGGGTTGCAGTGAGCTGAGAATGCACCACTGCACTCCAGCCTGGGTAACAGAGCAAGACTCAAAAAAAAAAAAAAAATTAAACTCTTCTTATTGTGTCTTTTTCCTTGTAAGACATTAACTAAAAGTTACTGGTAGTAAATGGTGACTGTTTTACAATTGGGTTTCATTATTGACAATATCAAAAAAAAGCAGCAATCTTTAAGAGTTCAAATTAGTGTAAGATAGGAAGGACTGCAAAACAATCTGATTTTTCAGTTGTAATTAAAGTGCTCCTTTTCTTATTTTAAGTAAAATAAAATTAATCAGTCACTGGCAACAATCATTATTAAGAGGTCTTTTAGGGCAAAATTTAATAGTATGAAGAGGTTTACAAAAATAGATTGACGTTATTTTGAGAAATACTGTAATTTTTTCTCAATTCAGTTTTGATAAATTGTACCTAATCATAGAAAAATTATTCCAATTCAAACTTGACATATATTAAAAAAGTAGAGATGAAATTAACTCAGCTACGTAACAGATCTGGCAAAATATAAGAATGAAAAAAATTCTACACAGGGCACTTATTTCATATCCAGAGGTAAAAACATTTTCTATTAGTAGCTTATCTTCTTCCTGTAAGCAATCACAGATTCTAAGTTGATCATGCGGTACAAAGTCACAGCAGTCAGAATCTTCTGTTTGATGCAACACACAAAGTTGTTTGTTTCCTTACTAAAATGCGAACTGGTTGTCTATTTTTCTTTATCCCATTTATTCGTATTCACAAATTAACAAATAGCGTCAACAATTATTGTAGGTGAAGTGGGGTATTGCTGGATCAAAGGCTCTATAAGACGTCTTTACTGACTGAATCTGAAGGTTTATTGAGTTCAATCCTCACACCTTTTTCACCTGTTAGATATTTTACTTTAGCTCGTGCTCTCTCATCTGCATCAAATACCAAACAGTTATTGCGTACTTTGTAGCATATGCTGGTTGTACTTCATGAGGGTTGCGATGGTCAGACCAGAAAAACAGCAGTCTATCAAATTTGGGTTCAATGTCAGCAAACTAGGCTTTACCTTCTAGAAAAATTCGAAGTATACCTCCACTTACCTTGGCATCCCGTTCTTTAACGTAATGTAATACATTTCACACGTCTTCCGTCTCCATTTGGATTATCAACATGACGTACATAACCCGTTCCATTGACCGGATAACAAGCAGCCATGGCTTTTGTCCGGCCCGGGGACGCGCGAGGCGGGGACGCGGCCGCCGCGGGGTCGGCCGCGGACTTGGCCTTTGCCTTGGCTGCGTCCCCGGAGGCGCTGTCCCGGCGCCTCGCTGCCTTCCTGGCCTCCAGGGCCCGGTCCCTGGACGGCGGCGCTGCAGCGGGCGGCGCGGGGCCGGAGTCCTGGTGAGGGCCCCCTCCGTGGCCGAGGGCGCCCTCGCTGCCCTGGCACACGAGCTTGTGCTTCTTCCAGTCCTGGCGCTGGCGCTCCTTGCAGCAGAAGGAGCTGCGGCTGCAGCGCAGCAGGTTCTCCATCTTCCCGCACAGCTCGCAGTACTGCCGGTCTCGCTCGCTCGAGCTCGGCTCGCCGGGCCCGCAGCTGTCATTGGCCATGGCGACCGCAGCTGAGCAGGAGGGGTGCGGCCGGACGGCCTCGCCCGAGGCTGGGGAGCGGAGAGAGAGATAGGGGCCGTCACTGCGCCATGCACCCGCTACCCTTGACTCAAGGAGGCTGGCACCCAGGGCCCTCGGCCGGGTCGCTTCCGAGTCCTAGGCTCCGGCGCAGCGCAGGCGGCCGCCTCAGCGCCTAATCGCCGCCGTGGGCTGAGAGAACGCGGCCTGTGCGGCGAACGGCAACCCGGGCTCGGGCGCGCGAGCCTGCGGAGCGCAAGACCGGCCCCCTCGGCTGCCGCCACCGCCTCAGCGTCCCGGGCGGCCCGGCCCAGGCTGCGGAGGAGCGCAGGGTAAGCGGGTGCCGCTCGCTCTGCGCATTCTGCACGTACACCACGGTACGGCGGCGACCCGGCCGTGCGGCGCGCGTGGGCCCACACTGCGATTTCTTATCACTCTTGCGGACGGGCTAGAGTTCGTTCTATTTTGGGGCTGTGCTTCAACTGTTCCTCTGGTTCTGCTGTGAACTTCACCATTGCCTGGAACAGACAGATTCTGTCTGTGCTTGCTTCGGATGGATGTTTAGAGAACTCAGTACTGATCCTGAGGGCTCCTTCTTTGAGAGCACATCCTGTCCCTCTTCAAGGACTGGAAGTGGTCAAAATTCTGTAGGGACTAAAACTTAAACATCCCAAACATAAAAAAGCAGAGGAAAGGTTGGGTGCAGTGGCTCACGCCTGTAATCCCAACACTTTGGGAGGCCGAGGTGGGTGGATCACAAGGTCAGGAGTTCGAGGCCAGCCTGGCCAATATGGTGAAACCCAGTCTCTACTAAAAATACAAAAATTAGCCGGGCGTGGTGGTGGGCGCCTGTAGTCCCAGCTACTAGGGAGGCTGAGGCAGGAGACTCGCTTGAACCCGGTTGGCGGAGGTTGCAATGACCCGAGATGGCACCACTGCACTCCAGCCTGGGTGACAGAGCGAGACTCCCTTTCCAAAAAAAAAAAAAAAAAAAAAAAAGCAGAGGAAAAAGCCAGTCTTATGCAAAAGCCTGCAACAGCAGTAAAGACGGCAGACATGTGGAAGGCTTTATGGAGATAAGGCCATGGACCACTGCATCCTGGCCACCCAGCTCTCTGGGGACTGCTCCTACCTGCCTTGCCAAACCCTAGGCAAAAAGACATAGGATAATTCAGGTGTTTTGCAATAGGCTCAATAATGTCGACAAAGACCACCGAAGCCGCTTGCCTCTGGCTGGCTGCTACAGAGTGAGAGCTGTTCTCCAAAAAGACATCCCTGTCACATGTGCTCCTCCCTGATCACAGTGAGGCTCATACCATTTTAAGCAATTTTCTTATTTAATGGCAGGGACGGACACTCAGAGCAGCCAATGTTGTGCATTCTCTGAAGAGTCAGCCTGAACTTGGAAGGAAAGTTGCAGATACCATGACCACGAAATAAGCAAATTCCAGTTTAACATCAATAGTGAAGTATGCCCACACTGCTAGTAACCCAAGGCAGCTCTGTCTCTCACATACCTCTATTTTAACTGTTCGGAACTATGTTTTTATAGCTCACCTCCAGCCTCTGTCTTCCAGGTTCTTTCTGCAAGTCTTCCACCAGGGCCACTGCCTCCTCTCCACTCTCCGGATGCTGCTGTCTGACCCAGATCTGGATCTCCTGGAGAAGGACAGTCGGGAACTGTTCTAGGACCAGCAACTCCAGGATCTGCTCTTTTGTACACTTCTCTGGCCTTAGCCACTGACAACAGAGCTTCTGGAGCTGGAGGAGGGCCTCTCGGGGTCGTGATGCTTCTTGGTAACGGAAATGCCAAAAGCTCTGGCAGGATGTCTCTGGTCCAGGGTAATTCCCTTGAAGGGAAATTTCCTGCTCCCAGTGGGAATCTTCTTCCAGTTTAACTATTTGGAGATCTTGTACTGAAGGAGTCTGGATTTGTTGGTCCACAGCTACAGCCATTGTTCAGGTCAGAGAAGAGCTTTGCAACCGCACTCTAAAGCTCAAACCTCTTCATCACCTCACTGGGAAGCCATCTTAGAACTTCCACTTAGGAGTCACTAAGTGGAACTTCTCTTGAAATTCTAGAGTCAGAGACATACATTACAAAGTTAACTCTAGTAAAAATCGCAAGTGTTAGCCCAGCAGGCTTGAGGTGAAGAAGAGAGCCTTCCTGTCCCAGCCCTGTTGCATGCCCTGGTGCCTGTGGAGTCACTGGTGGGGTGGCAGTTCCGGAAGTTTGATAAGAGGAGTCAAGGGCTAGTGACCTGGTTGAAAAGTAGAGGAGCTTGAAGCTGAGAGAATACGGACGATTCGGCCCCGTGACATGTTCTTAGCGGGGACGCAAGAAGCCCGAGCCCAGGTCCCAAACACGGCTATTCGGCTAGCCACTGAGCACCGGAAGCGGAAAACCTAGCCCCAGAAGGACTCCGTGTTCTCCGGAACTACATTTCCCAGAGGCCGCCGCCCGAAGACAGACAGCAGCGTTAGCCCATAAAATGGGAGAATATCTCAGGCGCCTATTCGTTTCAGACGAATCATTGATGACTTTTCTACCAGCTGGGTAAGTGGGGCGGGGTCGCGAACCGCAGCCACAACTCGCGCACCTGGGAGGGTGTGGGTCTTGCCTCCCAGGGGAGGTGGAGATCTCTCGCCCTGCGCGGCCCTGGTGGTATGAGCGAGAGGGGTCTTTACAAAAATTTTTTGTTTTGTTTTGTTTTTTATTTTTTATTTATTTATTTATTTTGAAGCGGAGTCTCGCTCTGTCGCCCAGGCTGGAGTGCAGTGGCGCGATCTCGGCTCACTGCAACTTCCGCCTCCCGGGTGCGAGCAGTTCTCTGCCTCAGCCTCCCGAGTAGCTGGGATTACAAGGCACCCACCACCACTCCCGGCTGATTTTTTTTTTTTTTTTTGTATTTTTAGTAGCGACGGCGTTTCACCATTTTGGCCAGGCTGGTCTTGAGCTCCTGACCTCATGATCCACCTGCCTTGGCCTCCCAAAGTGCTGGGATTACAGGCGCGAGCCACCGCGCCCGGCCTTTGTTTTGTTTTTAATAGAGACGAGGTCTAACTATGTTGCCCAGGCTGGTTTTGAACTCGTGGGCCTCTCAAAGTGCTGGGATTATAGGCATGAGCTGCCACGCCAGTTTATAAAGTATTTTCACTTAGGGCCGAGGGCAGCTGTTTAACCCTGTTAGTCCCTATTTATCCTTACTATGCAGATGAATATATCGAGACAGCTTGGGACTGAGGTCTCTGCCCTTACGAAGCTGGGACTCCAGTTAAGGTTTTCTGCCACTTAAAGTGCTTTTCTCTGGCATGGTTGGTAGCTGTGGTAATGCTTTACCACTCTGTTCCTCCCCCCCTCACTTACCACTCACACAATTCCTCATTTCCTGCTTGCACAGTCCTGGGTCATTCGAGATTAATACCATTGACTTTCATTCAACAGTTGGGGAGCAATTCGGGCCAAGCACCAGGCAGCGAGTGTGCTGTGGTGGGAGAAAAAAAAAGGAGACACTCCTTCCTCTTAAGGAATGCAATGCAGCGGAGGGTGCATTTTCTAAAACGCTGCCACGGAGTTATGTGCAACCCAAATAACTACAATGCAGTGCTATTAAATGCTTTGCGAAATGCTACGTGCTAAATGGAGGTGTGTTCAAAGGAAATGACTTGATAGAAATACCAGGGACGGACCGGTGCAGTGGCTCACGCCTGTAATCCCAGCACTTTGGGATGCCAAGGCGGGCCGGTCACTTGAGGTCAGGAGTTCGAGACCAGCCTGGCCAACATGGTGAAACCCCAAATCTAGTAAAAATACAAAAAAATTAGCTTGGTGTGGTGGTAATCCCAGCTACTCAGGAGGCTGAAGCAGGAGAATCGCTTGAACCGGGGAGGCAGAGATTGTAGTGAGCTGAAATCATGCCACTGAACTCCAGCCTGGGTGACAGAGGGAGACTGTTTCAAAAAAAAAAAAAAAAAAAAACCAAGGAAGGGCTGGGAGAGCCCAGAATCGTGCAGCCTCAGGGAAAGGACCTACTTTACACATTTTATCTGGTTTGGTTCTGAGAAGGAAACCTGGAACCCTGCATTGTAGGTTTCACTTCTTATTTAACAGATGAAAGGTTCAAATTCAATGAAGGTGGGGAGAGCTGTGCTTGCCCCCACAGTAGGAGCAGCCTGTGGTTAGGTGAGGGAAGGACAGGATAACAGAAAGGGCTTTCTAGAGAATCAGTTGCGAAGCAGGGCCATGGAAATTCCTTCTATCCCTCTTAACTTAGTGTCAACAAAAAGTCTCAGTGCAGACAAACCCACTGAACTTAATTTGGGAGAAAAAGCCATGGAGAAGACCCTTTAGAATGCACTTCCAAACTAGAAACCAAACGGGGTGCCTGCAAGGGGGTCGTTCTCCTTGTCTTTAGAAAAAGGGAATCGAGAAGAACCTTTAGAATGAACCTCCGAACTACAATTAGGATCCTAAACAACCTCTTCCTAGGAGAAAAAAAAAAAAAAGCAACAGCTCACAATAAACCAAGGACCATCAACCAAACGAGAGGTCCAGGGCTCAGGAGGACTTACTAGGAGGAGAAGCTGAAAGTCGGTGAGGCCTTTATTTATTTATTTATTTATTTATTTATTTATTTATTTATTTTTGAGACAGGGTCTCTCTCTGTTGCCCGGCTGGATTCTGGGCCTGATCATCGCTCACTGCAGCCCTGGCCTCCCTGAACTCAGGCAATCTTCCTGCCTCAACCTCCGAAGAGCTGGGACTATAGGCCCGCACCACCATGCCAGGCTAATTTTTGTACGTTTTGTAGAGATGAGGTTTGGCCATGTTGCCAAGGCTGGTCTTGAACTCCTGGGCTCAAGTAATCTGCAGGGGGGGCTTTCAAGGACCCCTACTGGTACCGTAGCTCCAAATTCAGGCAACTACTTCAGGGTTCTCAGTCCTCTCTGAGGCCCCATGTGTTCAGATGCCAAATTATTGTCAATGAAGAGAGAAGACTAAACATTGTAGCTAATATATCTTTTTTTTTTTTTTTTGAGATGGAGTCTTTGCTCTGTTGCCCGGGCTGGAGTGCAGTGGCACCATCTCAGGTCACTACAACCTCTGCCTCCCGAGTTCAAGTGATCCTCCTGCCTCAGCTTCCTGAGTAGCTGGGACTACAGGTGCACACCACCATGCTCAGCTATTTTTTTGTATTTTTAGTAGAGATGGGGTTTCCCTATGTTGGTCAGGCTGCTCTCAAACTCCTCACCTCAAGTGACCCACCCACTTTGGCCTCCCAAAGTTCTGAGATTACAGGAGTGAGCCCACCGTGCCTGGCCACTAATGTATCATTTTTATCTTAATGTTTTGTTCTTTTATCCATTTGTTCCTATTAGGTATTTCTCATGGCTTTAACAGTGGACTTCAGGAGTCATGGTTAAGTAACAGGTGTGGGGCAGGTAACTGACCAAACCTCTCCTCTGAGCCTCCATTTTCTTACCTGTAGAGTGAGGATACTTACCTCCCTCCTAGGGCTGTCAGGATTAAATGAGATGGCAGGTAAAGACCTTAGCACAGTGCCTGGCGCATGGTAACTGCTCTGTCCATTTTGTCACTATAAGCTCTTCTGGTTTATTGTAAAGTATATAATGCAACCCAAGTGAAGCAAAATTCCATGAATAAAAAAAGTCATCTCATTATAGCTTGCCTCAAATTATAAAATCTCTAATAAAAATGAAGGTATGTAGTTAGTGGCAGAAGTTTGTCTACAACTAGATCTGTCCAGTGCTCAATACTCTCTACTATGTCACAAACTTCAGGACAGGGTTAAGAGGGAGACAAGGTACTGCCTGGAAGGGGAATACCTTCTGGGGTCCTGGTAAGCGATTTTTTTTTTTTTTTTTTTTTGAGATAGAGTCTTGTTCTGTTGTCCAGGCTGGAGTACAGTGGCGCCATCTCAGCTCACTGCAAGCTCCACCTCCTGGGTTCAAGTGATTGTCTTGCCTCAGCCTCTTGAGTAGCTGAGACAACAGGTAGGCGCCACCACACCTGGCTAATTTTTTTATTTTTAGTAGAGGTGGGGTTTCACCATGTTGGCCAGGCTGGTCTTGAACTTCTGACCTCAAGTGATCCACCCACCTCGGCCTCCCAAAGAGTTAGGATTATAGGCAGGAGCGCCTGGCCCTGGTAAGTAGTTTCTTGATCTGGGTGCTGGTTACACAAGTGTGTGCAGTTTGTAAAAACTCAATGAGCTGTACATTTGTGTACACTTGTCTGCTATATATTAATAACAATTTATGTATTTATTTTTGAGACCAAGTCTTGCTCTGTCACCCAGGCTGGAGTGCAGTGGTGCGATCTTGGCTCACTGCAACCTCGACCTCCCGGATTCAAGTGATTCTCTTGCCTCAGCCTCCCAAGTATCTGGGACTACAGGTGCCCGCCACCATGCCCAGCTAATTTTTGTATTTTTAGTAGAGATGGGGTTTCACTGTGTTGGCCAGGCTGCTCTCGAACTCCCGACCTCAAATGATCTGCCCACCTTGGCCTCCTAAAGTGCTGGGTTTACAGGTGTGAGCCGCCATGCCCGGCCCAATAACAATTTAAAACAAAGGGAACTGTCTCTGGATATAGTTATATAGATTCACTGTATTAAAGGATAAGAGTAAGATAAAGTCTCTGAGGGTTCACCGCTTGTCCAAACAGAAAAAACAGAAAAAAAAAATTGTGAGCCGAGTGGTGGCTCATGCCTGTTATCCCAGCACTTTGGGAGGCCAAGGTGAGAGGATCGCTTGAGCCCAGAAGTTTGAGACAAGCCTGAGCAACACAGTAAGAGACCCTGTCTCTATTAAAAAAAAAAAAAAAAAAAAAGACCGGGTGCAGTGGCTCACACCTGTGATCTCAGCACTTTGGGAGTCTGAGGCGAGTGGATTGCCTGAGCCCAGGAGTTCAAGACCAGCCTGGGCAACATAGTGAGATCCTGTCTCTATTAAAAAAAATAAATTGTGTACTACAGATTTGGCTACAATATGCATGGTTTTCCATGGGCTTTTGATTATCTGTGACATTTCAAAACTATAAGTTGTTTCATTAGAATATTGGTGGGTTGGTTTTTACAAATGTCTTCATCTGTGTGCATAACTTACATAGGTAAATACTAAGAGGGCACTGAAGTAAAAACTAACATTTATCATCTGACCAAGGAACGCGCAGGAAACCTAATCCACTATCCAGGCCAGAATCATGGGCTTCATCTGTCTCTTGCATTTCTTTTTTTTTTAGACAGAGTTTCGCTCTTGTTGCCCAGGCTGGAGTGCAATGGCAGCGTGATCTTGGCTCACTGCAACCTCTGCCTCCTGGGTTTGAGCAATTCTCCTGCCTCAGCCTCTCGAGTAGCTGGGATTACAGGCATGTGCCACCATGCCTAGCTAATTTTGTATTTTTAGTAGAGACGGGGTTTTGTCATGTTGGCCAGGCTGGTCTTGAACTCCTGACCTCAGCTGATCCGCCTGCTTTGGCCTCCCAAAATGCTGGGATTACAGGTGTGAGCCACCACGCCCAGACTGCTTCTTGCATTTCTATGAAGAGAACCAACTGGCAAATATTTCCTGAGTTCCCATCACAAGCACTGAGCTGGGTACTAGAGCTGGAGGTTCCTGGAGCTGGGAACCTCAGGATGGGTATGAACATAAAAAATGGAAGGGAGGGAGGGGGCAGGATGAAGTAGGGAGGACGTGTAACAGATCAACGTAACGAGAGTCATGGCACTGAGCTGGAGAGTGCAAGGGCCCACAGGCAGGGTCAAGTCTGCCAGGGAAGTGCAGGGAGGAGGCCTCCTGGAGGAGGTGGTGCCCAAGCTGCATCTTCAAAAATGGGCAGGCGGGCCCCGGCAAACAGGGAGGCCCGGCGTTCCAGAAAAGGGAGCAGGGTGAACAGGGGCACTGAGGCAAGGCTCAGCTGTGCATAGTGATCGGGAGCTGGCTGGGGATAAGAATGGTCAAGGGCACAGAGGTGTGATGACCAGGGCAAGGCAAGGAATGAATGTGATGAGTTTCCACAGAGGTTCCCTATGGGAAGGCCTCATCTGCTGTTGAGCAGTATGGCCTTTCTGTAGGTGATGGGGAGCCCCTCAGGGCTTAAGCTAGGTGGTAGCCGGCTCAGTTCTGCTGTGAAAGAATGCTCACTCTAGCTGCAACATGGAGAGGCAGGCATAGGGAGGTGGAGGTTACAATGAAGCTGAAAGACAGGAGGATCGCTTGAACCCAGGAGGCGGAGGTCGCAGTGACCTGAGATGGTGCCACTACACTCCAGCCTGGGCAACAGAGCACCAGCTCAAAAAAAAAAAAAAAGAAAGATATATTAGCTACAATGTTTAGTCTTCTCTCTAGCTAGTGTCAGGACAATCCACAACTGTAACTGGTCATTCCTTACATGTGACTTGTGATTGTCCTTCCTGGCCCTTTATCCCTGAAGGGTGTCCTGTCTCATAACCAGAAAGTTCAGCAGGGGCCCCATGTCCTGGGTTTGCTGTACCCATAGTCTCCATAGTCTCTCACAGATGGCCTTGGAGATTACCAAATGGAGGGCGGTTCTAGCCTCCCTGCTCCCTGGCCCAGTTAAGCTATTTCAGATCTTTGGACAAAATCTCACTTTTGTCCTTTTTCCTTTTTCACCCTCTTGATAAAATATCCCACAGCCATATGGGAAATGGAAGTAGAATTGCCGGGAAGCAACCAGGAAGGAAGTAGTGGTGGCGCATGCCTGTAATCCCAGATACTCAAGAGGCTGAGGCAGGAAACGGAAGTAAAATTGCCGGGAAGCAACCAGGAAGGGCTGTGGCAGCTGCCAGGCAAAGGTCTGAACTCTGCCAGGGGCTTTGAGGCTGGGAATGCTGAGTAGGGAGGCAGAATGTGCACGCTGTGGTTCCCGAATGAATGGCTCTGAGGGAGGAAGGCATCTTGGATGATCCCAGGTTTTGGGATTGGGTGAGGCAGGATAGGTGGCGGTGCTACTCACAAAGAGGAAAGGCAAGGAGAGGCAGTCAGGGGACATGCTGAGTTTGAGATTCCAGGAACAACTTCAGCAGGTGAGTAGGTGGCAGGAAGAAGCCAAGAGAGACTTGAAATCAAGACAGGAAAGAGCTGATGGGGCAAGGTCCTGATCCTGGAGAAGTGGAGGGGAAGCTCCGGGTGGAGGTTACTATGAAGCTGAAAGCATAGCTCCAGGCTGAGCGTAGAGGTGAGAGGCTGAGGGAGCGCAGAGAGTTTGTTGGCCTGGAGGTGGGAAACAGCGGGAGTTCACACCTGACGGGTTCAGGGTTCTCAGATGTGAGCTGAGCCTGGGAGCTGACATTCTGAGAATGGCCAAAGGGTACACAGCCATTGTGGGGACTGGGAAAGGGAAGTGACGAAAGTCAGGTAAAAGACTTGCAGAGGTGGACCAGAGGGCCACGTTGAGGGTGAAGCAATTGTGTTTTTGGTTATGTTTTGCTTTTTTTTTTTTTCTCTTTTTCTTTTCCTTTTGAAGACAGAATCTTGCTCTCTCACCCAGGTTGGAGTGCAGCGGGGCGACCTCGGCTCACTGCAACCCCTGCCTCCCGGGTTCAAGCGATTCTCCTGTCTCAGCCTCCAGAGTAGCTGGAACTACAGGCGCCTGCCACCACGCCCAGCTACTTTTTGTATTTTTTGTAGAGATGAGGTTTTGCCATGTTGCCCAGGGAGGTCTCGAACTCCTGAGCTCAGGCAAGCCACCCACCTCGGCCTCCCAAAGTGTTGGGATTGCAGGTGTGAGCCACTGTGCCAGCTCTTTTTACCATTTATTGTAGACTTTTTTTTTTTTGAGATGGAGTCTTGCTCTGTCACCCAGGCTGCAGTGCAGTGGTGCGATCTCGGCTCACTGCAAGCTCCGCCTCCTGGGTTCATGCCATTCTCCTGCCTGAGCCTCCCAAGTAGCTGGGACTACAGGTGCCCGCCACCACACCCGGCTAATTTTTTGTATTTTTAGTAGACGGGGTTTCACCGTGTTAGCCAGGATGGTCTCGATCTCCTGACCTCGTGATCCACCCGCCTCAGCCTCCCAAAGTGTTGGGATTACAGGTGTGAGCCACCACGCCCAGCCTAGTTCAGGTTTTTAACACAGTAAAAGACAGACTCAGGAAAAGAATGGAACTCTACTTTATTAAGGAATACTGAGCATCCATCCTATAAGAACTAAGCCCATTCTGAGCACAGGCCCCATGTGTAGGAGGAGGCAGTTTCCCATTTCCTGGAAATGCCTTATCTCCTCTTCCTTCACAGCAAACCCCTTCACCTGCCGTCATGCCCGTCTTCACTCTCCAGGTGCGAGGATCCCGAGAACAAAGCCCTGGTAGCATCCTGAGATCAAGGGCGACACCTGTAGGACAAACTCCTGATTCAAGCCCAAATATCTCCAGGGAACAGATATGTCCTCAAAGTTAACACTTCTTTAAAAATAATGTTCTTGGCCGGGTGCGCTGGCTCACGCCTGTAATCCCAGCACTTCGGGAGGCCAAGGCGGGCAGATCACGAGGACAGGAGATCGAAACCATCCTGGCTAACGCGGTGAAACCCCGTCTCTACTAAAAATACAAAAAAAGAAATTAGCTGGGTGTGGTGGTGGGCACCTGTAGTCCCAGCTACTCGGGAGGCTGAGGCAGGAGAATGGCGTGAACCCGGGAGGCGGAGCTTGCAGTGAGCTGAGATGGCACCACTGCACTCCAGCCTGGGTGACAGAGTGAGACTCCGTCTCAAAAATAATAATAATAATAATGTTCTTAGTATACAAAAGCTACCCGACAGGATTCTAGCTCGGCATATATCAAATAAAAAATAAAAGAAGAGGGAAACAAGTGCATAGAATAATTCAGAAATTATGGGGCTATGTACCTGTTGGGCCAAAGGCACAAACCCACCCTGCTGTGTGCAGGACTGTTTTACTCTTGATGAGACAGAAGTTACCATCCACCATGGGTTGGCAGCTAGGGCTCTCGGACTTCACTACACTCTCCAGGACAAAACCCCACGAGAACAAATGTGTTCCCCTGGTAGCTGATCTACCACAGGACAGTAGGCAGAGACAAAAGCAAGCACTGAAATGTCCTCGGTTTACCCCTTTCCTGAAGGCCCTGTCCAACTCTTACCAATGGAAAGGACACTGGGACACTGGCTCCAGGCTGTACTTCCTCAAGTTTCTGTGCTCCTGACACTTTCTGGAAATAGAAAGGGTCTTTACCTTCACGTGGGTGACTCAGAACTGGAGAAGCCCCTCCATCTTGACCTGAAATCAAAGCCCAAGACACCAAAGCCAGAAGAGCAGATTCTAACTGACAGCTTGGGGTGCCCTGGAACACTAACAGCTTGGGGTGAAGGCACCTTAGCCCAACAACGTGGCAGCAAAACAACAAAACAACCAGAACCACACCAATGATTTCCAGTATTTCTCTGAGGACTCGGCCCACGTTGTGGGCCATGCTGTCTTCCATTCCACATGGAGAAACATTTCCCCCCATTTTACCAAAGAGGAAACTGAGGCACAGAGGAATCATGAGAGGGGGCCAATCAAGTCACCCAATGTAAGGGAAAAAGACCCAACTTTCCAGACCTTCCACGCCTATGCCCTGTTCTTGAATGTATACGGGACTTGACTCAGACCACTAAAATGACAGTGTCCTGGAAATGAGGATGAGCAAGGGGAAGACTCTGGCAAAACCCCCCAGAATGTTTAGGAAGCACAGCTCTTTGAAAGGGAATCACTGTTGGGGCAGTGTGGCAACTCCCACTCCAGGCCAGTCCCTCACTTTCACTCTTTGCCACTTCAATAAAGTTTCTCTTTCATGTGAGTTCTCTGATGTGTGATAAAGTTAGAGCTGTTGCTGAAGCCTTTGCCACACTCGGGGCATTTGTAGGGCTTCTCCCCAGTGTGGATTCGCTGATGTATAATGAGGACTGAGTTCCAGCTAAAGCCTTTCCCACACTCAGGGCACCTGTAGGGCTTGTCTCCCAAATGGGCTCTCTGGTGCATGACCAGAATGGAGCCCCGGCTGAAGCTCTTGCCGCACATGAGGCATTTGTAGGGCTTCTCGCCCGTGTGGGTCCGCTGGTGCACTACGAGCTGGGAGCGCTGGCTGAAGCATTTCCCACACTCGCTGCATTTGTAGGGTTTCTCTCCCGTGTGGATCCTCTGGTGCTTGAGGAGGTTGGAGCTCCAGCTGAAGCTCTCCCCACATGTCAGGCACTCGTAGGGTTTCTCCCCTGTGTGCATGCCCTGGTGTGCAATCAGACTGGAGCTCTGGCTGAAGCTCTTCCCACACACCCCACACTTATAGGGCTTCTCCACCATGTGGGTTCTCCGGTGTGTGGCCAGGTTAGAGCTGCGGCTGAAGCTTTTCCCACACTCGCTGCACTGGTAGGGTTTCTCTCCTGTGTGGGTTCTCCGGTGGGTGATGAGGGCTGAACTCTGGCTGAACCTCTGCCCACAGTCGGTACATTTGTAGGGTTTCTCTCCTGTGTGGATTCTCTGGTGTCTGATTAGATTGGAGTTGTAACTAAAGCTTTCGCCGCATTCTTTACATTCGTAGGGCTTTTCTCCAGTGTGGATCCCCTGATGCGTGTTAAGGCTGGATCGGTTGCCAAAGCTCTTTCCACACTCGGGGCACGAGTAGGGTTTCTCTCCTGTGTGGGTGCGCTGATGTGCAATGAGGTTGGGACTCCTGCTGAAGCTCTTGCCACACTCGGCACACTGGAAGGGCTTTTCCCCCGTGTGGATCCTCTGGTGGGTTATGAGGTTGGCACTCCGGCTAAAGCTCTTCCCACAGTCTCTGCATTTGTAGGGCTTCTCCCCGGTGTGAGTGGTTTGGTGTCTACTAAAATTTGAACCATCACTAAAGCTTTTTCCACATTCATCACATTTGTAGTATTTCTCTCCTGTGTGGGTCCTCTCGTGTGTGATGAGGTGGGATTTCCGGCTGAAGGTCTTCCCACACTGGGGACATTCGTAGGGCTTCTCCCCTAGGTAGGTGCCCTGCAGGCCTATGAGCTGGCCAACTTCCCTGTCCTGAGAAACCACCTCCCCGTGGTCCTCACCTGGGCTGTGTCCCTGGAGCCTCTGGATGCCAGCATCTCTCTCAAAGTCACTTTCCCCATCGGAGTGCTGAGCACTTTCACCTTCAGGCATTTCCGAGAATATCTTACGTGATTCATTCTCAAACATGTCTTGATTACAGTTCTCCCCATTTTCACTCTGTATCTCAAAATCTGAAACAATGAAGAAAAACATACAATGTCTACTCAACTCCCTGTCATGATGACAAAAGAAAACGAAGGGGGAAATTTATAAAAATTAAACTTCCAGTGAACACAAAGAGGCTAGAAAATCCTCAAAGCCTTTAATAATCAGGTTTAATATACCCAAAGGAATATAAATCATTCTATTATAAAGATACATGCACACACATGTTCAATGCTGCACTATTCACAATAGCAAAGACATAGAATCAACCCAAATGCCCATCAATGATAGATTGGATGAAGAAAATGTAGTACATATACACCATGGTATACTATGCAGCCAAAAAAAAGAATGAGATCATATCTTTTGCAGGGACATGAATGGAATTGGAAGCCATTATCCTCAGCAAACTAACATAGGAACAGAAAACCAAACACTGCATCTTTTCTCTTATAAGCAGGAGCTGAATGAAGAGAACACATGAGCACATGGAGGGAAATAACACACCCTGGGGCCTGTGGGGGAGGGGGAGGGAGAGCATCAGGAAGAATAGCTAATGGATGCTGGGCTTAATACCTAGGTGGTGGGATGACCTGTGCAGTAAACCACCATGGCACGCATTTACCTTTGTAGCAAACCTGCACATCCTGCACATGTACCCCTGAACCTAAAAGCTGATGGAAAAAAAAAAAAAAAAAAACCAACCCAGGCTTATTTCATTCTGACTGGTTGTCAGGCCTCATAATCTTTGTGGCAATCACCCAGAATTTCAAAGCCTTAAAGATTTGGGTTCCATGTCCCCACTACCTGTGTCTTCATCTGAAAATGAGGTCAGGTGGGAATTTTAAAGGACATAAACAGGGTACCTACCCAATTACCCCCACACTCACCATAATGCCTGGTGCTTGATTCAATGTAATGAGTGCATGAATGAGTTTTTTTATTGGTACCATAGACATTTCCCTAAAGCTCAGTCTCCTTTCAAAAGGAGCTTATATAATAATTTCTTGTATTGACATGTATCTGGTGTTTATGACCGCATTACTTTGTATTTAGACACAGGAAAGATGACAGAGCCCGTGCAATAAGGACCCTAGGTGTGTATACCAATGACTAGAAGCAAGTTAACTGGATTGTTAAAAGAGCCCTCAAATTTGTCTGCAGTGGGAGCTTATGAATAGATTTTTTTTTTTTTTTTGAGACGGAGTCTCGCTGTGTGGCCCAGGCTGGAGTGCAATGGCGCGATCTCGGCTCACTGCAAGCTCCGCCTCCCCAGTTCACGCCATTCTCTTGCCTCAGCCTCCCGAGTAGCTGGGACTACAGGCGCCCACCACCACACCCGGCTAATTTTTTGTATTTTTAGAGAGACGGGGTTTCACCATGTTAGCCAGGATGGTCTCGATCTCCTGACCTTGTGATCCGCCCGCCTCGGCCTCCCAAAGTGCTGGGATTACAGGCGTGAGCCACCGCGCCCAGCCATGAATAGATCTTTAATTGGTAATATGTCTTCCAGGAACTTGTTAAACCTTCCAGTGCCCAAATATTTGAGTAAAAGAAATCATTAGGGAGGACTGCTAGAAGAACATAGCCCCTTCCTTAGATGAGGGACTGTAAAATCTACCCGAGGATGAGGCCAAAGCAGCAGAGAGCTGAGCCTGGATCACACTGTTCTGACCCCCGGCAGAACTGTGTTTACTGAATAGTGTGTTGGCTTCATAGCCCTGGCTGACACTCTAAGAAGTGTCATTAGAAATTAATGACTGACACCGGGCATGGTGGCTCACGCCTGTAATCCTAGCACTTTGGGAGGCCAAGGTGGGTAGATTATCTGAGATCAGGAGTTTGAGACCAGCCTGACCAACATGGTGAAACCCCGTCTCTAATAAAAATACAAAAAAATTAGCTGGGCATGGTGGTAGGCACCTGTAATCCCAGCTACTTGGGAGGCTGAGGCAGGAGAATCACTAGAACCCAGGAGGTGGACGCTTTGGTGAGCCAAGATCACGCCACTGCACTCCGGCCTGGGCAACAGAGCCAAGACTCTGTCTCGAAAAAAAAAAAAAAAATTAATGGCTGTTGGGAACATTAATGCTGCCAGGAAGTTGTTGATGACATTGTTTATACCACACAATGTCCTCTTGATGAGCCTGAGGAGGAAATTTCCCTCTTGACCTCAATCCTAAAAAAAGCTGCACTTTTTTCTATTTTTTAAGACAGAGTCTCACTTGGTCACCCAGCCTGGACTGCAGTGGCGAGATCTAGGCTCACTGCAACCTCAGCCTCCCGAGTTCAAGAGATTCTCCTGCCTCAGCCTCCAGAGTAGCTGGGACTACAGGCGCACACCACCACGCCCAGCTAATTTTTGTATTTTTAGTAGAGATGGGGTTTCACTATGTTGGCCAGGCTGGTCTCAAACTCCTGACCTCAGGTGATCCGCCCGCCTGGGCCTCTTATAGTGCTGGGATTACAGGTGTGAGCTATCGCGCTCGAACTCCTAGTGACATTTCTATTATTAAAGCTAAAAAACTTTATTTAAGGTTAGATGCTCAATTAATTTTCTGTAAGTTAATATAAACTCTTACATATGAACATGATAAAATTGGACATGCCCCTCTCAGGCAGGACCTGGGCTCCACTCTTGCCTTCAGTCAATTTAAGATCACATTTATTTTTATTTTTTATTTTTTTGAGACAAGGTCTTAGTCTGTCACCGAGGCGGTAGTACAGTAGCGAGATCGCAGCTCACTGTAGCCTCAACTTCCTGGGCTCAGGTGACGCTCCCACCTTAGCCTTGCAGGTAGCTGGGATTACACAGGTGTATGCCACCACACCCAGCTAATTTTTTTGTATTTTTGTAGAGATGGGGTTTTGCTATGTTGCCCAGGCTAGTCTCAAAGTCCTGGGCTTGAGTGATCCTCCTGCCTTGGCCTCCCAAAGTGCTGGGATGATAGGCATAAGCCACCATGCCTGGCCATAAGATCACCTTTAAAGTTGAAAACAGGCATATAATTAAACTCCATGCTTACACTGACACATGCTGCTGGTAATCTGTGGGTTCACAGAATTGCCCTCCAGCCCCACCCCTCATATCACTAGGGGACAGATACAGGCACAAGGGGCACAAGGTATACTCTGACTCGGCAGAACCAGGAATTCTGTGTTTCCTCAACTTCCTGCAAGACAGTCTTTTTTTTTTTGGAGTCTCACTCTGTCACCCAGGCTGGAGTGCAGTGGCGCGATCCTGGCTCAGGGCAAGCTCCGCCTCCCAGGTTCAAGCAATTCTCCTGCCTCAGCCTCCTGAGTAGCTGGTACTACAGGCGCACGCCAACACGCCTGGCTAATTTTTGTATTTTTAGTAGAGATAGGGTTTCACCACGTTGGCCAGGCTGGTCTCAAACTCCTGACCTCAAGTGAGCCGCCCGCCTTGGCCTCCCAAAGTGCTGGGATTAGAGGCGTGAGCCACTGCGCCTGGCCATGGAAGACAGTTTTTTTTTTTTTCTTTTTTGAGACAGAGTTTCGCTCTTGTTGCCCAGGCTGGAGTGCAGTGGCGCGATCCTGGCTCCCCGCAACCTCTGTTCCCCGGGTTCAAGCAATTCTCCTGCTTCAGCCTCCCAATTAACTGGGATTACAGGCATGTGCCACCATGGCTGGCTAATTTTGTATTTTTAGTAGAGACAGGGTTTCTCCATGTTGGTCAGGCAGGTCTCGAACTTCCAACCTCAGGTGATTTGCCCACTTCCGCCTCCTAGAGTGCTGGGATTATAGGCGTGAGCTGCCATGTCTGGCCGGAAGACAGTTTTTTGGCAAGTTTTGAGCACAGAGCCCTGCCAGCATCTCTCTTCTAGAAGAACCTGCAGGCCAAGACCCTGATTAATTTTTAGCAAACTAACATGACCAAAAACATTTTTTTGGGTGATTTTAGTAATTGAATAGGTAACATTAGCTAATAAGGCTGTTTTTGCTGTTTTAAAATCAGAACTGGTTAGCTCTCCAATGAGCTCGGAAGCAACAAGGAAAACAAGTAAAATCCAATTTTATTTTCAGTGAGATCAGAAGATAAAATATGTAGGCACCAAAATACATGTCAGGGCTTCCCAAAACAGCAGACTGGGTAAAAGCAATGAGGAAGGAAATGCAATGAATAAGCATGGAGAGCCCTGGGGTGGGAGGGAACAGAACTCAGAAAGCTCAGGCAGAAAATCACTTCCTGTGTTTGGGAACTGGGGTAAGCAGGGCTGGCTTCTTTGGTTCAGAGAGGCAAAGGAGGTGAGGCTGCAACTGGAATCACACAGGGCAGCCATGTACGCAGGAAGCTGTTTCTGGAAAGCAGAGAAGGAAAGAGCCTTTGACCCACGCACATTAATCCAAGGTATTTATTTATTTATTTTTTTGAGATGAAGTCTCACTCTGTCACCCAGGCTGGAGTGCAGTGGCACTATCTTGGCTCACTGCAACCTCTGCGTCCCAGGTTCAAGCGATTCTCCTGCCTCAGCCTCCTGACAAGCTGGAATTACAGGTGCACACCACCACCCCCGGCTCATTGTTTTTGTATTTTTAATAGAGATGGGGTGTCGCCATGTTGGCCAGGCTGGTCTCGAACTCCTGACCTCAAATGATCCAACTGCCTCGGCCTCCCAAAGTGTTGGGATTATAGGCTGGAGCCCGGCCCAAGGAATTACTATTACTGAGAAAAGTGATCATTTCCATCCATAAAAATAATTAAATGAGGCAACTGCCTTTATAAAGGAATACCACAGAGAAGAGCTTGAAGAAGGGATGGTGAGACAACAGGAAGAGATTAAATGTACACTAGAAGAACTCAGGAAAGGAGGGAAAATCAGCCAGAGAAATGAAGACAACAGGAAAAGGAGCGCAATGGGAATAGGCATCTTGGAAAGCACCATTCCAAGAATGGGAAAAAGAGGACCAAAATAAGAAAGCAATGACAGGAAATGGAAACAAAGGAATAGGTTAAAAGGATTAAAAAGAATGACAGAGGGCCAGGCGCGTTGGCTCAGGTCTGTAATCCCAGCACTTTGGGAGGCCAAGACAGGTGGATTGCTTGAGCCCAGCAGTTTGGGACAACTTAGGAAACATGGCAACACCCCATCTCTACAAAAAATACAAAAATTAGCCAGGTGTGGCTGTACACACTTGTAGACCCAGCTACTTAAGAGGCCAAGGCAGGACGATTGCTTGAGGCCAGGAGGCAGAGGCTGCAGTGAGCCATATTTGCACCACTGGACTCCAGCCCGGGTGACAGAGTGAGACCCTATCTTAAACAAAAAGATAGAAACAGAAGTTAGGCAAAAGGAGAATCAGTAAACATAACTGGAGTTCTCAAAAAAACAAAGCAATAGAACTAGTACTTAAAGGCCAGGCGTGGTGGCTCACGCCTGTAATCCCAGGACTTTGGGGGGCTGAGGCAGGCGGATCACAAGGTCAGCAGTTCACGATCAGCCTGGCCAATATGGTGAAACCCCGTCTCTACTAAAAAAATACAAAAATTGGCTGGGTGTGGTGACAGATGCCTGTAGTCCCAGCTACCCAGGAGGCTGAGGCAGGAGAATCGCTTGAACCCGGGAGGCGGAGGTTACAGTGAGCTGAGATCACACCACTGCACTCCAGCCTGGGCGACACAGTGAGACTCCGTCTCAAAAAAAAAAAGAACTAATACTTAAAGATAAAACCTGTAAGGATATAAGAACATGTGAAAGTTACACCATGGGCCAACAAAAACTAACCCAGGGTGGCTAACAGTAAGACCAGTGGACAACAGCAAAAGGATCAAATCACTTACAAGGGGAAAGAAAATCAACTGGTTTCAGATTTCTCTATATTCAGGCTGGGTGTGGTGGCACGTGACTGTAATCCCAACTACTCCGGAGGCTGAGGCAGGAGAACTGCTTGAACCCAGGAGGTGGAGGTCGTGGTGAGCTGAGATCGCGCCACTGCACTCCAGCCTGGGCGACTCTATCTCAGGAAAAAAAAAAGATTTCTCTATATTCGACAAAACTGTCCTTCAAGTATAAACCTATAGGCAAACAGCTTTGAACATACACAAATTAATGGACTGCTAGAGGGGTGAACACCTAATAAATTTAACTTTAGAATGAAGACTAAAACTACCATGGCAACTGGGGTGATTAAAGAGCTTGTGAATGTTATGCGGCAGTGTAGAAATGACATTCTAACCAAAACTGGGGTTGGGAGAAATAAGGTGGTTTATAGGATATGTTCGTTGATTGCCTCATCTGTAATAACCTGGGAGTTCAAAGAATTCACATTTAAAACTGGTAAAGCATGCAGCTAAGTAGAGGTTTGCAAAAATAAACACTAAAAAAGATAAGATTATTGCTTGCAATCCCAGCACTTTGGATGGCTGAGGTGAGAGGACTGCATGAGGCCAGGAGTTCAAGACCAGCCTGAGCAACACAGCCAAGACCTCATCTCTACAAAAAAAAACAGAATTAGCCGGGTGTGTTGGCACTTGCCTGTAGTCCCAGCTACTCAGGAACCTGAGGTGGGAGGATTGCTTGAGGCCAGGAGTTTGAGATTATAGTAAACTATGATCATGCTACTGCATTCCAGCCTGGGTGACAGAGTGAGACTCTGTCTCTGAAAAAAAAAAAAAAAAAAAAAAAAAGAGGCCAAGAGCAGTGGCTCACACCTGTAATCTCAGCACTTTGGGAGGCAGAGGTGGGCGGATCGCAAGCTCAGGAGTTCAAGACCAGCCTGGCCAACATGGTGAAACCCCATCTCTACTAAAAATACAAAAATGAGCTGGGCATGGTGGTACATGCCTGTAATCCCAGCTAGTTGGGAGGCTAAGGCAGGAGAATCGTTGAATCGTTGAACCCAGGAGGTGGAGGTTGCAGTGAGCAGAGATCGTGCCACTGCACTCCAGCCTGGGTGACAGACTGAGATTCTATCTCAAAAAAAAAAAAAAGAAAGATTACTGACTAAAATTGGAGGGGAGAGGGACTATCTCTGTCAGATGTTAAAACATTATGAAATCTCGGCCGGGTGCAGTGGCTCACGCCTGTAATCCCAAAACTTTGGGAGGCCGAGGCGAGTGAATCACCTGAGGTCAGGAGTTCTAGACTACCCTGGCCAACATGGTGAAACCCCATACAAAAATTAGCTGGGTGTGGTGGCGGGCGCCTGTAATCCCACCTACTTGGGAGGCTGAGGCAGGAGAATTGCTTGAACCCAGGAGGCAGAGGTTGCAGTGTACCGAGATTGTGCCACTGCATTCCAGCCTGGGCAACAGAGCGAGACTCCGTCTCAAAAACAAAAACAAAAACATTATGAAATCTCAATAATTAAAACATTAATAGACAATCAGACCAAATAAACAAAATAAAAACTCCAGAAATAGATTCAATAGATATGTAAGTTCAGAATTTAATACAAGTGGAACAGAAATAGACAGGCCAAGAGAAGAGAAAAGATAATCTGTATAATGACTATGAAAATTTAGCATACAATACGGTTGGCCTCTTAAATCCATGGAGAAGAGACACAACATACAATAAATGATGCTGGAAGAACTAGTTACGGAAAACTGGAAAAATTCAATTCAAATGGAAAAATTCAAGCTGGACCCAGAAACGGACAAATCCCAAATGGATCTAAGATTTAAATGTTAAAACAAAAAACCCAAATAGCAGCATCAAACTATTAGATGAACATATGAAAGAATTTCTTTAAAATCTGGCAGCCTTTAAGTGCGATACTTAATTTATGGGGCTATCTTCTTTTAAATGTCAAGTCTTTGAACTCCCAGGTATTACATACAAGACAATCAAAGAACATATCCTATAAAACCACCTTATTCCTCCCAACCCCAATTTTGGTTACAATGTCATTTCCCCCTTTTTTTTTTCTTTTGAGACGCAGTCTCACTCTGTCTTCCAGGCCGGAGTACAGTGGCATGATCTCGGCTCACTGCAAGCTCCGCCTACCGGGTTCACGCCATTCTCCTGCCTCAGCCTCCCGAGTAGCTGGGACTACAGGCGCCGGACACCACGTCCGGCTAATTTTTTTGTATTTTTAGTAGAGACAGGGTTTCACCGTGTTAGCCAGGATAGTCTCGATCTCCTGACCTCGTGATCCACCTGCCTCGGCCTCCCAAAGTGCTCGGATTACAGGCATGAGCTACCGCTCCTGGCCTTTAGAAGGTCATTTCTACATTGCTGTATAACATAAATATCATAAACCTCACTAAGGAGGTCCCTCTGAGTAGAATCCAGGCCCAATAACCCCTTCACTGTACTGCTCAAAGACCAGTCCTATCTTTACAAACACCGCTGCTATCCAGCGAAGACCAAAGGAAGGTTGGCAGTTCTTCACAAGTTGCCCTCTAAGACCAGAGAGACACAGGAGTCATTCTACAGGACAGAAAAGAGTGGCCCTTCAGGTGATCTGACTGACAAGGGCCTCCAAAATGGGAAAAAGTCACTGAGCTGGGAAGAATAAGGGATCCCTGGCCCCCTCCAGGCTCCCTGAGAAAGGCTGGCCCCTATGAGATCCAGAGCACACAGCAGAGCACGTTCAAGGGCAGGTGAGTCCCTCCTTTATTTATTGGTGGCCAATTAAGAAAATGAAAACTCAGAAACTGGTTTTGGTCAGATACAAAAATAATATTCTTACCACGTTGTGAATGGAGATGAGAGGAGATGGTGGCAGCTGGGAATTAAAAAAAAATTTTTTTACTGATAGCAATGGCTTTGGCTACTCCAGGATGCCAAGAGGAGCACATTCTGTGGATATGAGTAGATGTAGGGAGGCGGCTTCTAAGGAAGCAGGCTTATGAGTAAGAGGCTGGATGGCCCAGACATCCACTTTTTTGTTGTTCTTGCTTTTCTGTTTTGTTTTGTGTTTTTTGAGACAGTCTCGCTCTGTCGCCTAGGCTGGAGTGCAGTGGCGCGATCTTGGCAACCTCTGCCTCCCAGGTTCAAGCGAATCTCCTGCCTCAGCCTCCTGAGTAGCTGGGATTACAGGCGCCTGCCATCACTCCCAGCTAATTTTTTTATTTTTAGTAGAGATGAGGTTTCACCACGTTGGCCAGGTTGGTCTCAAACTCCTGACCTCAGGTGATCCACCCACCTCAGCCTCCCAAAGTGCTGGGATGACAGTGTGAGCCACCACGACTGGCCTGTTGTTGTTTTTTGAGACAGTATATCACTGTCTCCCAGGCTGGAGTGCAGTGGTGGGATCTTGGCTCACTTAAGTCTTGACCTCCCAGGCTCAAGTGATCCTCCCACCTCAGCCCCCAAGTAGTTGGGACTATAGGTGTGTGCCACCATGCCTGGCTAATTAAAAAGAAAAAAATTTTTTTTTTGGAGACGGAGTCTTGCTCTGTCACCCAGGCTGGAGTGCAGTGGCGTGATCTCTGTCTCCTGGGTTCAAGCAATTCTCCTAACTTAGCCTCCCCAGTAGCTGGGATTACAGGTGCACACCACCACATGCCCGGCTAATTTTTTTTGTATTTTTCGTAGAGATGGGGTTTCACCATGTTGGCCAGGCTGGTCTTGAACTCCTGACCTCGTGATCCACCCACCTTGGCCTCCCAAAGTGCTGGGATAACAGGCGTGAGCCACCACACCTGGCCAGAACATATTTTCATAATTTTTAGTTCTTCATTTCTAAATTGTTTATATCTTTTACCTTTTATTCTATTTGGTTGACTTTTCTTATGAATTTGCAGAGGCTCTTGTAGATCAAGGATTTTGACTCATGATCTGCTACATTAGACTTGGATGCAAATATTTCCTCCTAATGTGTATGCTGTCTTTTGATTCACAGTATCGTTTTTTATATGAAACACTTCTGTTTTGGCTGGGTGCAGTGGCTCACGCCTGTAATCCCTGCACCTTGGGAGGCAGAGGCGGGCGAATTGCCTGAGTTCAGGAGATTGAGACCAGCCTGACCAACATGGTGAAACCCCATCTCTTCTAAAAATACAAAAATTAGCCGGGAGTGGTGGTGGGTGCCTGTAGTCCCACCTACTCGGGAGGCTGAGGCAGGAGAATCACTTGAACCCTGGAGGTGGAGGTTGCAGTGCCGAGATGGCGCCACTGCACTCCAGCCTGGGCGACAGGGTGAGACTCCATCTCAAAAAAAAAAAAAAAAAAGAAAGAAAGAAAGAAAGAAAGACTTCTGTTTTGAGTCCAATCTAGCTTTGATGACTTCTGTATTGCTTATTCACACTTCATACTTGAATTGTGAGTGCCTAGAGGTTCCTGTCAAACAAACATGAAAGTCCTTCCCGCATGCTAAGATTACAAAAATATTCTCTCACATGTCATTTCAGATCCTGTCTATTACAGATCTGTAATCCATCTGGGACCTATTTTTGTGTAACTTGTAAAGCAGGGATCTATTTCTTTGTAAGCTGCAAAGTAGGTATCCAATTTTAGTTTTTTCAAAATGATTTGACCACTGTCCAAAAATCATTCACTGGAACAGTCCCTGAAGGGCCACAGGACCTCTCCCCTTATCTGTCAGTGGACAAAAGCTGCCACCGTAGCTCAATCTCAGCCAACGGTCCTTGTATTTCTCGCACTTGCCACGTGAGCTCTGGCCTCACGTGCACAGCACAAATTCCCGTGGCCGTTCACAGGGCCCTGCGTGTCCTCGCCTGGCCACAGGCCTCCTCTTTCTCTCCCGCACCATAGAGCATACCAGAATGAACATGGGGAAGACTCATGTCAATAGGGGATAGACCTGACTTTGCTGTAACAATGAAATAAACTGGTCACAGTCTTTGGTGCTTTGGTGTGTGTTTGGCTCAAAATTCTTCTCCAGCCCCTTCCTGCCTGATTGTGTCCTACCCCTGTGTCTCAGCCACTGGTCTAAAATAGAGAAGTGGTTCTGATATAGGGTATGCCCAGCTCCATTCTCACTAGGGCTCTCCCCATTAGAGCGCTGCCCTGGCAAGCCCAGTGGGACTGGGAGCATTGTTCCCCCTGAACTCTGGCTGCTTGAAAGACTAACTGCTGATAAAAACAGCAATGGACTGTTATCAGGTGAAATACATGAATGCTAAACATTTCATAGGTATAACGTTACCGCTCCCTAAGAATTCTGTCCGGTATACTTTTCAAACATTTGAGTAAATTAAAGGTAATTTTTGGGCTGGGCACAGTGGCTCATTCCTGTTATCGCAGTGCTTTGGGTGGCTGAAACAGGAGGACCACTTGAGGCCAAGAGTTCGAGGTTATAGTGAGCTATGATCACACCAGTGCACTCCAGCCTGGGTTGACAGAGTGAGACTTTGTCTCTCTCTCATATATATATCATATGAGATATATCATATATCTCATATATCATATATGATATATATCATAGATATATATGTGTATATATATATATAAAAGTAATTTTGTTTTGAAGCTAAGAATTGTAGCTTTAAAAAGACATAAGCTGTAACACTCTCCACTCCCTTTCTGGCTGAGACAAATGAATGTATGTGTTCATTTGTGGTCATTAAGGGAGCATTTTGCTGGGGCAGCAAGCTCAAAACAAATCACCTGTTGCCTCTGATGGCTGAAAGCCAGATGATGCTGAGGATGGCTGGAGAGGTCAGCTGTGACTCTTTCACTCAACTGTTGGACAAGAGTAGGCTTGAAGTTGATAACCTCTATTCCTCTCCTGGGTAGTGCTTTTCAAACTTCAAAGAGCATAGGAATCACCTGGAGATCTTGTCAAATGCAAATTTGCTTCAGCGGGGCTTGGTGAGACTGACAGTCCTAGTCTAACAAACTCCCAGGTGAGCTGATGCTGCTGGCCCACTGACCACCCCCTGAAGAACAAAGCTCTATGGCAGTGCTCTTTACACTTTGCAGCATAATAGAACTACCTGGGCACTTTCAAAACTCCCTTGCCCAGGCCATACCCCATACCAATTAAATCAGAAAATTAGAATCCCTGGAGTAGGCTCCAGGCCCCCAGGTAATTCTAATGTGCGGCTGAGTTTGAGAACCAGAGGTCTACAGAGGTCTAGTGCAGAGGTTCTCAAATTGGAGTTTGAATCAGGATCACTTAGAATGCTGGGCATCGCCCTCAGTTTCTTTTTTTTTTTTTTTTTTTTGAGACAGAGTCTTGCTGTCACCCAGGCTGGAGTGCAATGGCGCAATCTCAGCTCACTACAACCTCCGCCTCCCAGGTTCAAGCGATTCTCCTGCCTCAGCCTCCCAAGTAGCTGGGATTACAGGCACATGCCACCATGCCTGGCTGATTTTTTTTGTATTTTTAGCAGAGACAGGGTTTCACTATGTTGGCCAGGCTGGTCTCGAACTCCTGGCCTCGAGTGATCCACCCGCCTCGGCCTCACCAAGTGCTGGGATTACAGCCGTGAGCCATTGCGCCCAGCCACCCTCAAAGTGTCTGATTCAGGAGTTCTAGGGTGGGGCTCCGAGGTTCATGATACTGAAGGGAGAGGGAAAGGAAGAGGGAGTAGGGTGGAAGAGAGGGAAGAGGGGGAATGAAAGAGAAAGGAAAAAGACAGGTTCCTTGTCTTCTAGGATTTTACAGGTTCCTAGAAGAAATAAGACAAGTATTCATATAAACAGAAAAGAAGGTGAACTATGATAAAAAGCCAAGAGAGAGAATCCAAATGTTCTGGGGGAGACGACTTCTAGCAGAGGTGATTAGAGGTGCTCCCAGGTGTGTGGAACTGGGGATGGGGAAAAGGGACAGGGTTTAAGAGCAGCTTTATGAAGAGGGTCTCCACGGGTGGGCACTCAAAGAACAACTGGGATTTTATCACAGAGATGGGACAAGGCTATTCCAAGCCAAAAATCCAGGAGCAAGGGCCAGGCGTGGTGGCTCACGCCTGTAATCCCAGCACTTTGGGAAGCCAAGGTGGGTGGATCACCTGAGGTCAGGAGTTCGAGACCAGTCTGACCAACGTGGTGAAACTCTGTCTCTACTAAAAATACAAAAATTAGCTGGGCACGGTAGCACGCACCTGTAATCCCAGCTACTTGGGAGGCTGAGGCAGGAGAATCACTTGAACCCAGGAGGTGGAGGTTGCAGTGAGCCCAGATGGCACCACTGCACTCCAGCCTGGGGAACGTAGAAAGACCGTCTCAAAAAAACAAAAACAAAAACAAAAGCACAGGCTGTGTTCAAGAAAGAGCAAGATCTGGTCTGAATGGAGTGGGGATAGAGCATGGGGGGTCAGGGGTGGGAAAAGACTGCAGGGGAGGTTTGGGCCAGGTCCCACAGAGCCACGGATTCCAAGCAGAACAAGGAGGTCATGCTTGATTTGGTAGATACTGGGAAGCTCATGAAGGTTTTTAAGCAGGAGTGCCCCATCACTCTGGTAGAAGTGGAAGAGCTGGGATGAAGGGGCAGAAGCTGAAGACAGGTTCAGTTTGGCAGCTGCTCCAAGAATTCAGGTGAGAAACTCCACGCATCTGGATTAGGGCTGGGTATGGAGAGTAAAATGTCCTCTGGAAACAGTCACAGAGAGACATAAGCTCTGCCACTTAATCTATTAATATAGGTCCGATCTTCATTAGAATTAGAAGGTACTTGAATTTTGAGTGCCCAGAGGTTCCTGTCAGAAAAACATTAAACCGCCACTGACTAACCAGGCCTGGAAATATCCTGTGCTGGGTGAATGTGTCCAAAGGTCATAAGCTGGACAAACAGAATAGAGGTCACGCGGCCTTATGTCGAGTAAATGTTTGAGAAGGGATGAAGACAAACGCAGGGACTCCTGTGAGCAATCATGAGGAAGGTCGGGGCGTTTATTAAACAAAGACCAACAAAGACAATCTCAGAGGCAGAAGTCAGGGACAGACAAACCCATGTGTCTGGGATGGTCCCCATTGGTTCCCATCTCAGGTGCCCAGTTAAAGATGAAAGGCACAAAGCCCCTGCTGCAAGGTGGATGGGAAGGGCTGTAATCACCTCTGACACCTGCTGAGACCTGAACCTCTGCTCTGTGCCTCCCCAACCAAATAACAACCTGAGGCCTCTCCTCAGCCCTCCATCACTCTCTCCTCCATAGTATCTGACTGGAGATCCAGAAGTTCATTACAAACTGGTCACCTCCACCGGAAGGGAAGCAACGACAGCTACAGCTGTAAAATAGGGAGACAGGTTTGCTTATTTTAATAGAAGGAATAAAATGCAGTTATTTTTTCAGGGCCAAAGAAAATCAAGCACTTTGCTTCAAGCAAAACTGAGATCTCCATGCAGAAAGAGACAGGTCTGGGTTTGAATCCTGGCTCCACCACTCAACAGCCATGTGAGTTTCCTGCACTTATATTTCCTATCTGTGAAATGACAATGCCAGCCACTCACAGGATTCTTAGTGAGACAAGCATGAAGGTGCCCAGGGCAGGGCTGGGTCACTGCAGACCTTCGGCGTCAGTCCCTTTCTCCAGAGGACAGCTCTACTCATTCACCCAGTCCCTGGAGTTTGTGATAGTCTCTGCCCCAAATCCCCTTCAGTTTCCTTCTCTTCTCTTCCCAGTCCTCTGAATCCTCCAGGCCAGATGCTCTGTAGTCACTGTCTTAATTCCATCTGCATCCCCAACTTCCAACACCCACTAGGAAGTGTCTCTTAGAATCATACATATGACAACGCTTAAAAACATGGGCTATGTCCTCACACACATAAGTTCAAATCTTGGTTCTGCCTGGTACAAAGGCACATGATCTTAAGGGATCTCTGGTGATGATAATCCTGCTTATCTTCCAGGGTGGTGAAGATTACATGAGTTTTCCATATTAGATGCTAAGCATATTTCCTGGCTTGCAGAAAGAGCTTGGAAAGTGCTAGCCATGGTGACTATCAGTTCTTTCTCACACGTGCCCCATCTGGGGCAGACCCCCATCACTGCACACCTGAAGACAAGGGAGCTTCCTGGCTGCTCTCCTGCCCCTAGCCTCTCACTACCCTAATCAAACCTACATCCTGTTGCCAAACTCCGCTTCCTTCCATGCCCCTTGGGGGTCTAGTTCAAGAACCCACTGAGGCAAAACATTCAGTCCAAGCCCTCACCCACCCTTCCCCCAAACTCTACTTCCTACCACTTCCTAAAAACACACTTGCCACTCCAATCTGCCAGCTCTCCTGTCACCCAAAGGTATAAACCACCGTGGCTCTGCCCTTCCAAGCCTCTGCTCAGCACAGCTCCTCTCAGCTGCCACACCCTACTCCCTTCTACAACCTCCTGCTTAGGTGTCACCTCCTCCAGGAAGCCTTCTCTGACCTGACCTTTCCTCTCCACGCTCCCTTCTCTGAACTTCCGTAGTTTTCATCAGCACAAAGGCAGCCATATCCTTCGAGCCCTGAGACAGCCCTCAAGGCACATCTGAAGTAAACATTTGGTCATCAAGTGAGTCTACTTTACAATGGAAAACCAGGAGGGAGACAGCGGTTAAACGGCAAGCCAGAATCCCAATACTTATTAGTAACACCGGAAAAAAATAGAGTAACTATTGCAAAGAGCTCAAGTTTGAAATTACGATTTTAAGAGCCCAGGATTACTTTATACCACAGAAAGTCCCTAGTTATTAGCTGGTTTACTTGTCATTTCTCTTGGTTTCATAAAAATAACCACTTTGGGGCCAGGCGTGGTGACTCACGCCTGTAATCCCAGCACTTTCGGGGGCTGAGGTGGGCGGATCACGAGGTTAGGAGCTTGAGACCAGTCTGGCGAACATGGTGAAGCCCCATCTCTACGAAAAATAAAAAAATTAGCCGGGCGTGGTGGCGCACGCCTGTAATTCCAGCTACTCAAAAGGCTGAGGCAGGAGAACTGCTTGAACCCAGAAGACGGAGGTTGCAGTGAGCCAAGATTGTGCCACTGCACCCCAGCCTGGGTGACAGAGCGAGACTCCGTTTCAAAAAAAAAAAAAAAAAGAAAAAAGAAAAAAAAGTCATGTTGAAAATATCAGATTGTTTTCTCTAATTGCAAGAACCATTTGGATGTTTCTTGCACAACCACGTGAAGGTGCCAGGGGTCTCCATCTCCTCCCGTTTAACTTCCATCACCTTCCCAACCACTCCAAATAAACACAGAAGTAAAAACTGTGCTTACAATTCAAATGTAGCTCTAAGGCCCTCCTAGCACTTCTGGAGCTGACTTTGCACACAGTGAGGACACTAAAAGGCTGATGAACACGCTGACTGCCTGCAGACAGAGCAGAGGGATGGCGCTAGCCCCCCACTCTGCCTTGGACACCACCTTCTCCTCCTCCGAAACACCACACTCCTCTACCTTGGAAGGGTGCTCCCGCCCTCTCCCTATGAGGTTCTGCGTCTCACCACTGTCCTGAAGGGTCTGGGTCAAGTCTTCCACCAGGGCCGCTGCCTCCTCACTGCTTTCAGGCCGATGCTCTTGCAGCCAAGCCTGAATTTCCTTTGGCAGCATGGTTAACATCTGCTCCTTGGTGTGTACCTCTGGTCTCAGCCAGCGCCGGCAGAGCTCTCGGAGGCGGCCGAGTGCACCCTGTGGTCCCCTGGTCACCTCCTCCTGGGGGCCGCCCTTGCCAGCACTCTGGGGAAAGGGCTCAGACTCAGGGCCATCCTCCTGCAGCACAGCTTCTTGCACCCAGGAGTCATCCTCCAGGATCATGGTGGTGACCTCCTCCTCCTGTCTATCTTCCTCTTGAGGCACCTGGACCAAGGAGCTCAGCGGAGTGGTCACTCTCGGGATGTCTGCAGCCATCATCCACAGTCCTGGGGCAATCACTTAGGCTTCAAGCCTTGGACCTCAGTCTTCTCCAGCCAGGCTCTCAGGTAAGACACTTCCCTCCTCAAATATCAACAAGTAGTCCCGCTGAGAAACAAAAAAGAGAACCATAATCCATAGGTAGACTGTCCTAAAGCAATCTAACTCACAAAAGCCCAGGTCAGACCACCAAGTGGCCCTTACATATGCAAACCAACAGACGTTTCCTGTTCTTCTTAAAGAAAAAATGGCTTATTCCTGAAAACATCTCTCTGTGGTAAAAGAAGGCTGGGTGCAGTGTCTCATGCCTGTAATCCCAGCACTTTGGGAGGCCGAGGTGGGCGGATCACCTGAGGTATGGTGAAACCCCATTTCTATTAAAAATACAAAAATTAGCCGGGCGTGGTGGCGGGGGCCTGTAGTTCCTGCTACTTGGGAGGCTGAGGCAGGAGAATCTCTTGAACCCAGGAGGCGGAGGTTGCAGTGAGCACAGATCTCGCCACTGCACTCCAGCCCAGGCAACAGAGTGAGACTCCGTCTCAAAAAAAAAAAAAAAAAAGTATCCCAAGCACAAAAAATACAGCATTGTTCCTTCCAAAACACCAAAGAATGAGTATCAGAAATGCAAAGTCCCCGGGAAAAACCCATGACTGAAATACTGAGGACTCTCCTAAGTCAGTTTCGACTTGCACTGTGTGACCTTGACCTAACATACAACTTAGTCACCAAACTCGGTGACCACCTAATAAAGATAATAACACTCATGTTTCTGTTTTTATGGGGGCATCTTAAGGATCAGCAATGGATCAGATGTCAAAGCACTCTGAGCTTCTTTGGAAGAAAGGCAATATCTCAACTGCATTATTACCATACTTTAAGTATGAAGTTTAAAACATGCATATACTCTCCAATCCAGCCTCGGCCCCTCAGTACTTTATCTTAAAAAAATAACCAAAAAATCGAGTCCTTAAAAATCCAGCAGCAGGGAATGGCTAATAAACTATGACACACCCATATAGCAGCATGTATTAGAAACTGTGCTATAGGCTTGGCGTGGTTGCCTGTAATCCCAGCACTTTGGGAGGCCTCGGCAGGCGGATCACTTGAGGTCAGGAGTTCGAGACCAGCCTGGCCAATATAGTGAAACCCCGTCTCTACCAAAAATACAAAAATTAGCCAGGCATGGTGACGGGCGCCTGTAATCCCAGCTACTCAGGAGGCTGAGGCAGGAGAATTGCCCGAACCTGGGAGGAGGAGGTTGCAGTGAGCCGAGATCGTGCCACTGCACTCCAGTCTGGGCGAAAGAGCCAGACTCTGTCTCAAAAAAAAAAAAAAAAAAAGAAAAGAAAAGGAAAAAAAAGAAAAGAAACTGTGCTATAATAATGGCTACCTTTAGGTGGTAATGACAGGAAAGGGGCTCAAAGGAGCCTTCTGGGATGATGGAAATTTTCAATATCTTCATTTGGCAATGGCGGCACAAGAGCAAACATATGAAATTTAAGATCTGCACATTACGCTGTATGTTTTTAATATTTTAAAAATTATATTGACAAAGATTAATCATTAATGATTTAAGATAATCCTTCTGATAGGAAAATAATGGATAAACACAAAATCAGCAGGGCAGAAAAACCATAGACACAGTAAGTCCTCAATTCCCTTTAAAAATGAACTCACAGCCGGGCGCGGTGGCTCAGACCTGTAATCCTAGCACTTTGGCAGGTTGAGGCGGGCGGATCACCTGAGGTCGGAAGATCGAGACCAGCCTGACCAACACGGAGAAACCTCGTCTCTACTAAAAACAAAATTAGCCAGGCGTGGTGGCGCATGCCCGTAATCCCAGCTACTCCGGAGGCTGAGGCAGGAGAATCGCTTGAACCCGGGAGGCAGAGGATGCGGTGAGCGGAGATCAGGCCATTGCACTCCAGCCTGGGCAACAAAAGCAAAACTCCGTCTCAAAAAAAAAAAAAAAAAAAAATGAACTCACAGGAAAAAAGAACGGGACGGCACCTACAAAATATTGAAAGCAGTGGAATTGCAAACGACTTAAAATATTATAAAAGCAATACAAAATTATTTTTAGCCCAAGCGCTGTAGCTCACGCCTGTAATTCCAGCACTTTGGGAGGCCGAGGAGGGAAGATGGCTTGAGGCCGGGAGTTCATGACCAACCTGGGCAACAGAGTGAGACCCAGTCTCTACAAAAATAAAAAAATTTTTTAAAAAATCATTACTACATCATAAAGACTCAACTAACAACCCTCCCTCAATGAAAAGGGGAGAAAAGCTGACAAAAGCTTAAAAAAAAAAGGACAAAAAATAAAAGCTAGTGGGAAAACCGAAGCTCTCAACGTGTATTTACTCAAATGACTAGAAGAAATACTGGCATATGGTGTAAGAGAACTCTTCCTACTTGGGAGCCTGGGAAAAGTGTGCCAGGTCAGCTAATTTGCGGTCTGACTTGGGGCACGACACGCCCCCTCTGAACCTCAGTTTCCCCATCTGTAAAACGTGTACGCTGCGCGGGATGTCGTCGAATGCCCCTTCCCGTCCAAAGCCTGCGCTTCTCGGTAGGAGAGGCAAGGAGCTCTCCGCCAGGGAGACGCGTCCGGGACGGTTCGCTGAGCGGAGCCGGCGCGTAAATCGGGGCTGCAGGGCCCGCAGGATACGGAGCGCGACCCCGACGCCCCTCCCCCAGCAGAGCTGCCGGCAGCTGGCTCCAGGCCCACTATTCCCTCACCTCGGGCTACTGCCCGGGGTCCGCGTGGCTCCAGGCCTGCCTCTCCGGCTCACCTCTCGGGAGACCAGGTCCTGCTCTAGCGGTTGCTTCGCGTGCGAAAGCGCCCCCGGGCTCGGCCCGGCCCCTCCAGATTCACCCCGGCTCAAGCCCGTGGGGCACCGAGAACAATGGACGGGAGAGGCCCGCCCACCGCCGCGCTCATTGGCTGCCGAGAACGGCCCTGGAAATTCTGCCTTTCTGTTGGTGGAGACGGCACCCAGCCGGGCGGCAGGAGGGAGGCTGGGCCCAAGGCATTGTGGGAGATGTAGTCCGCCCGGAGACGAACCTGACCGCGGTCCCCGGAGTAGGGTTTGGGGCTGACAGCCTGGGCAGTGCCTGCGGACCAGAGGCAGGAAAATCCGCAGACTGACCGTCAGAAACCCTGTGTTGGCTAGAGCTGTAACCCGAGACAAGCCGTTTCACTTATCTAAGGCCTCTGTATATTTGTCTATAAAAAGTGAAAGTTGGATGGCCGGACTTGAAGGACCTTTTCGGCTGCGAACCTTGTGGCAAGGAGTATTGTTAGGCACCCTCGACCGGCGAGAGCGGACCCTGGGCAGGAAGGGAATCCATGGGGGAACAAATCCTCATCGCCCAAGCCTGGCGCCTTTCCCCCAGTTTGCAGCTGTACACATGCACCCGGTCTTCGCACACCCCTTTGTTTTCGCACGTGGTATTCCTGTGTTTGGAGGAACGCCCTGCCCCGCCTCCTCTGCCGCGGAACTCCCATTCTTCCAGCTTCTCCTGGGTGGAGCCTGCCCTGTCATCACCACCTCCCCAGGCAGAGACACCGCCCCTAGTACACGTGTTGGACGTCCCCATTTTATTTTTTAAATATATATATGTATGTATTTGTATATATATATATATATTTATTTATACACACACACTCACAGACAGGATCTACATTTCATAGAGACAGGGTTTCCATATGTTGCCCAGGCTGACCTCGAACCCCTGGGCTCAAGCGATCCTTCCTCCTCAGCCTCCCAAAGTGCTGGAATTACAGGTGTGAGCCACCGCACCTGGCTGACGTCTCCATTTTAGTACTGATCACCGGGTTGCTTACTTGTCAATCTCAGTATGGGGGAAGGGAGGGTGCCCGGGTGTGGGAGGTTGGCCTCCATCTTTGTGTTTTACGGCTGGCGCTGTTGAAGAAACGGCTGCCCCAACCCTGCTTGAAAACAGGTGAGAAACTACCTGGAAACTCAAGCGGAAAATCTAAAAATGGAGAGAGACACCCTTAATGGTCTGTGATAGAATAGTTATGTATGTTTGCACTGAGCAATTACTGGAGGCACCTGCAATGAAATGACTGCTTTTTTTTTTCCTCCTCTGTCGCCCAGGCTGGAGTGCAGTGACACGATCTCGGATCAAGTGATTCTCCTGCCTCAGCCTCCCAAGTAGCTGGGATTACCGGCGTGCGCCACCACACCTGGCTAATTTTGCGTGTTTTTAGTAGAGACAGAGATTTCACCATGTTGATCAGGCTGGTCTTGAATTCCTGACCTCAGGTGATCCAGCCGTCTTGGCCTCCCAAAGTGCTGAGATTACAGGCATGAGCCACGTGCCCGGTCCTTTTCCCATTTTTAAATTGGATTTATTTGTAAGAGCTCTTTGTATATTAAGAAAATTATCCCTTTGTCACAGCAGTTGCTACTCTTTCTCAGTTTGCTGTTTGTTTTCTGCTGGTTTATTAAATATAGAAATTTGAAATTTTTTTGCAGTCAAATTTGTTAATCTTATCTTTTTATAGCCTGTGAGTTTTGTGTTAGAAAGTCCTCTGCACCACTCCAAAGATTATGTGAAATTCACCTGTTTTTCACTAATTAACCTCTTGAATCCAATTACAGAGATGCAAAGTGAAGTTCAGCTAGTGATTCTTATCCAATACCCTGGTAGCATCTTTATTATCCCAGACTGACCACATGCAAATAGCACCACCTCCAGGCCAGCCTGAGAAGTCTGCACTAAGCCCCTGGATGCAGAATTCTGGGCCACCACCCCTCCAAGTGATTTTTTTTGGGATGACATTGTATTAAAAAAGATGGGTTTCTCCATGTGTCCATCCTTACCAGGAATGGAAATTTACACAAAAAGGAAAAGATGCAGGGGAGGCTGGGGATGCACAGATGGAACTTTCCAGCAGCTCAAGCGTTTATTTACCTCTGTTCCTAACCCATGTCAACCCTTGACCACAGAACTGGCACTAGCTTGTCACTGGAGAGTCCTAAAGAAGCTGTCTCCTCTGTGTCTGATTCTGGGAAGCTGGTCCTTGCCAGTGTCAACTATCCTACATGAGACAGAGAGAAAGTCACATTTAAGACCAATTCATGGCATAATGATCCTACTGAGAAGGGCCCTGGTAGCCAAGCCAGTACCCTAAGACCAGCCTGCTACATCGAAGCAAGCCTGGAAACACAGCCAAGTTCAAGGTTGCTCCCCCAAGAGAGTCCTTTCTCCATTGGCCAAACCACAAGGGTGAGAGAGGCTCTGTTCCACCAGAAAGCATTCTTGGTTAAAAGCTTAAGAACTAATCTGGCTAACTTAAGTAAAAGGGACTTACTGAAAGACTGTCAGGGAACTGACAGAGTAGAAGGGAGCTGACGAATCAGGCTTGAGAACAGTTAGGAGCCAAGAGACAAAGAGGAAGTCCCCAAAAACCACAATAACAGTCTCTGAGCAGAAAAAGTTCAGCTTGCCTATCCCATGACCTCTGGTGGTACTACAGCCATCTCTGTTTCTCCGCCTTTCTCACACAAATTCTCCCATGCAAGGAAAGAGCATTTGGTTGGTTGAGTCTAAGTCACATGCACATTCCCTGGATGCAGCAGGGTGAGAGAGGATTGGATGTGGCTCCTAGATTTTCTTACTAATACCCCACACAAAGGCAGATTCTCCACTCTGGAGACTGAAGGCCTGTTAGGAAACACTGGACAGGCAGAAACAATATCACTACTTGTCTTTAGGCTCTGAGCAAGAAGGGACCTCACCCCAAGGAATGCTCAGCCTAAGGCATTTGGGGGCCCTTAGCTCATCTAGAGTTGATGAAAAATGATGTGGGTGGGAATGGGGAGAACTGCTCCATAACAGTTCTTTCCATAACAGTTTTGATTGGAGAGTTTAGTCCATTAACATTCAATGTTAGTATTGACTTATTCTTGCCATTTTGTTTTCTGGTTGCTGTGGTCTTCTCTTTCTTCTTTTCTTTCTGTCTTCCTTATTGTGAAGGTGATTTTCTCTGGTAGTATGATTTAATTTCTTGCTTTTTGTGTTTTGTGTATTTATTGCATATTTTTAAATTTGAGATTACCATGAGGCTTGGAAATACCATCTTATAACCCATTATTTAAACTGATGACAACTTTGCACTGCTTGCACAAAGGAACAAACAAATAAACAATGAAACAAATAAAAAGAAAACTAATAAAAACTCTATTTTAATTTGTCCTGCTTTTTAACTTTTTGCTATTTCTACTTACATCTTATTGCACTGTCTATGTCTTGAGAAGTTGTTGTACTTATTACTATTTTTGTTTGGTTCATCTTTTAGTCGTTCTACTTAAGAGTTGTTTGCACAATTGCCGTGTTATAATACTCTGTGTTTTTCTGTGTACTTACTATTACCAGTGAGTTTTGTAACTTCACATGATGTCTTATTGCTCATTAATGTCCTTTCGTTTCTGATTGAAGATGTCCCTTTAGCATTTCCTGTAGGATAGGTCTGGTGTTGATGAAATCCCTCAGCTTTTGTTTGTCTGGGAAAGTCTATTTCTCCTTCATGTTCAAAGGACATTTTCACTGGATATGTTATTCTAGGGTAAAAGTTTTTTCCTTCAGCTCTTAAAATATGTCATGCTGCTCTCTCCTGGCATGTAAGGTTTTCACAGAAAGTCTGCTGCCAGGCGTATTGGAGTCCCATTGTATGTTATTTGTTTCTTTTCTCTTGCTGCTTTAGGATCCTTTCTTTATCCTTGACCTTTGGGAGTTTGAGTATTAAATGTCTTCAGGTAGTCTTCTTTGGGTTAAATCTGCTTGGTGTTCTATAATCTTCTTGTACTTGAATATTTATAGCTTTCTCTAGGTTTGGAAAGTTCTCTGTTATTATCCCTTTGAATAAACTTTCTATTTCTCTGTTTCCTCTTTAAGGCCAATAACTCTTGGCTTTGCCCTTCTGAGGCTGTTTTCTAGATTTCGTGGGCATGCTTCATTAAAAAAAAATTTTTTTTGTCTTCTCTAACTGTATATTTTCAAATAGCTTGTCTTCAAGCTCACTAATTTTTTCTTCTGCTTGATCAATTCCACAATTAAGAGACTGATGCATTCTTCATTATGTCAATTGCATTTTTCAACTCCAGAATTTCTGCTTGATTCTTTTTATTTCAATCTCATTGTTAAATTTATCTTATAGAATTCTGAATCCTTTCTGTGTTATCTTTAATTTCTCTGAGTTTCCCCAAAACTGCTATTTTAAATTATCTGTCTGGAGGTCACTTATCTCTGCTTCTCTAGGATTCGCCCCTCTAGTTTGTTTGGTGAGGTCATGTTTTCCTGGATGGTCTTGATGGTTGCAGTTGTTTGTCAGTGCCTTAGCATTCAAGATTTATGTATTTATTGTAGTCTTCTCAGTCTGGGGTTGTTTGTACCCATCCTTGGGAAGGCTCTCCAGGTATTTGAAGGATGTGGGTCTTGTGATCTAAACTGTATCTGCATTAGGGGACACGCCAAACCCAGTAATGCTATGGTTCTTGCAGACTCATAGAGGTACTGCCTTGGTGGTCTTGGGTAAGATCTAGAATTCTCTGGACTACCAGGCAGAGATTCTTATCCTCTACCTGTCATTTCTCCCAAACAAACAGTCTCAGTCTCTCTCTCTCTGCTGAGCCACTTGGAGCTAGGGGTGGGCTGACACAACATCCCTATGGCCACCACCACTGGGACTGCAATGGATCAGACCTAAAGCCAGCAAAGCACTGGGTCTCACTCAAAGCCTGCTGTAAACACTACCTGGCTATCCCCTATGTTCACTCAAGGCCTAGGGCTCTACAGTCAGCAGGTGGCAAAGCCAGCCATGTTTGTGTCCTTCCCTTCAGGCCAATGAGTTCCCTCAGGCCCTGGCGGGTCCAGAGATGCTGTCTGGGAGCCAGGGACTGGAGTCAAAAACCTCAGAAATTTACCTGGTGCTTTAGTCTATGGTGGCTGAACTGGCACTGAAACCATGTGAAAAAGTCCTTCCCATTCTTCCTTCCCCTTTCCACAGGCAGAGGAGCCTCACCCTGTGGCCACCCCCACAGGCCCACAGCGAGTACTGCCAAGCTACTGGCTATGTTCACTTAGGGCCCAAGGGCTCTTCAGTTGCTTGTGGTGAATGCTTCCAGGCCTGGGACTCACCCTTCAGGGTGAGGTCAGAGCAGGTCCAGAAATGCTGTCTAAGAGCCAAGGCCTAGAATCAGTGACCACAAGAGCCCATTTGATGCTCTACCACATTGTGGCCAGGCAGGTACCTAAGCTGCAAGACAGAGTCCCTTGTGCATTTCTCTCTGCTTTTCTCAAGCAGAAGAAGTCTCTCACCACAGCCACCATAGCTGGGAATATGCTGGGTCTCACCCGAAGCCAGCATGCCTCAGAGTCTTACTCCAGGCCCATAGCATACTACCTGGGTATCACTGCAGGTTATTTGGGTCAAAAGGGCTCTAGAGTCAGCAGATGATGAATCCTGCCAGGACTGGGTTCTTTCCTTCAAGGCAGCAGGTTCCCTTCTGGCCCAGGGTGTATCTAGAAATGTAATTCAGGAGCTACGTCCTGGAATGGAGGCCTCTCAACTCTGACTAGTGCTCTATCCTACTGTGGCTGAGCTGGTATCCAAGATGTAAGATAAAGTCCTCTTTACTCTTCCCCCTCCTCTCCTCAAGCAAAAGGAAGAAGTCACTTTTGTTGCTGCAAGCTGTGCTGCCTGGGGTTGGGGGAGGGGTGGTGCAAACCCTCCCTTGGCTCCCTTGCCTGGTGTCTCTCTAGGTTGTGTGCCCCGAGTCCACTGGCTCTGAGCCCAGCATGGCATTAGGAATTGCCTAGGAGTTGAAGTCCTTATGGTCTAGACTGGCTTGAAAGTTTATTTAGGGCCCCAGAGCATGATAGCCTGCCATGCCAAGGCTTGTCAAAACCCAAGCCTCAAGCCTCCTAACTACTGGGATGGGTGAAGTCCTCTGGGTAGGGCTGGTCTAAATGCTCCCTCCATGGGCAGGTGTCATGAGAGTTCCACCTGGTTTTGCTTTCTGCTGTGACAGGGCAGCACTGAGTTCAGTGCAAAGTCCCACAGTTGCTGCATTCTCCCTCTCCCAAGTGCACAGATTCTCTCAGCACCACAGCGGCCACTGCTGAGGGATGGGGGAGGGGTGACATCAGTGTTTCAAGACTGTCTTTCCCACCCTCCTCAGTGCCTCTTTCAGCGATATGAAGTTAAAGCCAGGTACTTTGAGTCCTCACCTGATTTTTGGTTCTTATGAAGATGCTTTTTTGCTGTGGACAGTTGTTAAATTTGATTTTCCTGCAAGGAGAATCATTGGTGGAGGCTGCTATTCAGCCATCTTGATCTGCTCCTCCTCCCTCACCGAACTTTAATTATCTCCTAAGAGCTCTATTTCCAAATACAATCACATAGCAGATCAGAGCTCCAATGTATGAATTTTGGGGAGACCCAATTCAGTCTATAGCATTTGGACTGGGGGAGAGGGAGGAAGAGAACATTCAGAGGAAGGACACAGTATAAGCAACAATTTGGAGGTGGGAAAGTTCACAGCTCATGGATAGAAAAAAAATGATCCAGTTTGGCAGGGCCCACAGGGAGATGTGGTGGAGTGGTGAGAGGTGGGCCACATCAGAAAGAACCTTGAATACCAGGCTGAGGTTGGAGACATTTCCTGTTGTGTTGAAGGTGCCATGAGGTGGTAGGGAGGTAACATGATGAAAGGATATTTGGGAGGATGGATCTGGTATCAGTGATGGGCGGGGTAAGGAGTGAACTAAGCTGGAGGCCAGGAAACTGGACACACAGCCCAGAGTTTAGGCTTAGGCTGTTCAAAGGCACTGTTTCCACACTGAGTTCCAGTATGGATCAAAGCATGCAGAGGGTGGATGATTTGGAAAAGCAAAACCATTCTCTTCCCATTACCACACAGTTTCCCAGCTGAGCTCATCACCAGAGTCCTACAAATCAGACAGTCAACCTGCCCCAAACTCTGTCCCTAGAGGCTGTGACCCAGAGGGAGCCCTTGTCCAGCTGTAGCCCAGGGACACTGCAGCCTGAGCAGGACTGCACCTGTTCCCTCCCAGGAGCCTCATCTCTGTGTAGCCTGGCTTTGGCTTCAAATGCCCTCAGCTTTGGCTTCAAAATCTGTTGGGTCAGATTCATGAGAACTCTGGCCTTCTTTGGTTTAGGGATTTTAAAATAGTTTTTTCAACAAGCAGTAGATGAGCTCTGTTTGCTTACCTCTAAGAACTGGCCAGAACTCACAGAAAACTGTTATACTCACAGTTATGGTTTGATTACAGGGGAAGGATATAGACTAAAATCAGCCAGGGGAAGAAAGGTATAGGGCTGAGTCCAGGAGGGCACCAGACATGGAGTGTCCATTATCCCTTCCCCATGCAGTCAGAGTGCATTACCCTCCTGACTTTGCTATGTGCCAATACACATGGAGTATTCCCAGCCAGTGAGGCTCCCTCAAGCCTCAGTGTTCAGGGTTTTTACTGGAACTTCATCACAGAGGCATGCTTGATTGTCCACGTGGTTGCTCTTAGTTTCGAGTCTCCCATGATTCCAGGGGTGACATAAAGCCTGGACTCTAAATCACATAGTTGGTTTTCCTGGACTGGCTGGTCCCCACCCTAAATCTTTCTACTAGACTATCCATCAAGACCCGAGATCCACAGGCAAAGATATTCCTGTCAGGCATTACATGTTGGAGATTACCTCCTAGGAGTCGAGGACAAAGGCCAGAACTCTTTTGGGTCAAGATTAATTTTTTTTTAGCTATACAACATACCATCATTCTGTTATCCTTCCTTTCTGTTTTATCTTCAAAATAACCCTAATTGGTGGGTAAGGATGTTTATTATTATAAACAATATGTCGAAAGGAAAGACACTTGAGCAAAGTTGCACAGTTGATTCTTGACTCATGGTATAATGCTCTTTCCACTCTCTGAGAACCCTGAGTCTTGAGAAGAAGATGGAAGATGTGTACATATGTGTGTGCACATGTGTGTTTGTGTTTGTAAATGTATATCTAATAAGTACATGTAGATATGTGTATGTTTCTGTGTGTGTGTTTGTGTATACATGTGGATGTGTGGGTATCTATATTTATGTTTGTGTGTATGTGTACACATGCTCAGGGGGAAGGTTAAAGAGAAAATCAGCAGGGCGCAATGGTGCACACCTGTAATGCCAGCTACACGGGAGGCAGACGGGGGAGGATCACTCGAGCCTGGGAGTTTGACAGAGAAAATTTCAATAATCTTCTTGGTGTTAGAAGGAAAAACCTGGGGCTGGGCATAAAGAGACATAAAACAGCATAAAGAGGAAAAGAAATGCCTAATGAAAAACAAGTGACCAATAATTAATTAGTTCATTTATAAAGAAATACAGCACTGGCCGGGTGTGGTGGCTCATGTCTGTAATCCCAGCACTTTGGGAGGCCGAGGGAGGCAGATCACGAGGTCGGGAGATCAAGACCATCCTGGTCAACATGGTGAAACCCCATCTCTACTAAAATACAAAAAATTAGCTGGGTGTGGTGGCGCACCTGTAGTCCCAGCTACTCGGGAGGCTGAGGCAGGGGAATCACTTGAACCCGGGAGGTGGAGGTTGCAGTGAGCCAAGGTTGCTCCACAGCACTCCAGCCTGGCGACAGAGCAAGATTCTGTCAAAAAAAAAAAAAAAAAAAGAAAGGAAAAGAAAAGAAATATAGCACTTTAGCAGCAGAATAAAACTGGAAGATAATTTCCTCTAGAACCCTGATAATCTTTGTGAGAAAACTGTTGGTCACATATGTTAACTGCCAAAACTTGCAGGACCCTGTGCAACAGAACTGGCAAGTAAAACCATCTTTCTTTCTTAGACTTGCTATGCTACAAGTGGCATTCAACTAGTTCTCAATCCAGATTTCATGAACCTGTCTCCAGCTTCCAGATGGTGAGGGAAAGTGTGATGAGACTTTAGGATAAATTGTGCCTGTCTCTGAGTCCATCTCCTCCTATTGAAGAGAAGGAAAATGAGGCTAGCGCATTACAGCCCTGTGTGACAAAAGTCACAAGATAAGCAAATAATTATTATTTAAAACCAGAGAGTCCTATAACTTATTCACGAATGCCACACATTCTATATTAGATCTTCCATTTCAATTTACTCGTATTCTTTCAAGGAAATTTATAAGATTTGTATTATTCAGAAAATGCTCCCAAGCTAATAGAAGAAAATACTGTAACTACAGGAAGCATCAGGCTACACAATATGGTATGGTGGTGAAGTGTGTAGCTTCTAAAACCAGAAAACACAGGTTCAAGCCCTGGCTCTACCACCTTGGGAAAGTTACATGGTCTCTCTCTGCCTGAATTTCCCCATTTAAAATGTGGGGATGACAATAATAGTGTCTATTTCACAGAGGTGTTGTGAGGAAAATAATATATGTGAAGCCACTTTGAACAGCAGTTAGTGGTATGTAAGTGTGTGCTATTGTTATTTTAACATTTCAGGTTATAAATATCTACCCTGTTATTCAGATGACAAGTGTCTGTAAGCTGATAACATGATGAAGAGCTTCTGTGTTCCTTGGTTTTCCATCAGCTTTGTAAGGAAAAAAATACCACACAAAGAAGAGCAACTGATGCAGTCATGAGAAGGAAAGTTGGCTTAAGATTGGGGGGCTTGGGTTTATTAGGCTTTCATCTTCTAAAAATTTCCTAAGCTCCATCGATAAGAAGATTTTTAATATCAATCCAGCTAAAAAGTACCAATAGACCCCACAAGACACTGAGTTAGACATAAAAATGGAAGGGTAATAAATAGCCAGGTACGGTGGCTCATGCCTGTAATCCCAGCACTTTGGGAGGCCGAGGCGGGCAGATCACGAGGTCTGGAGTTCGAGACCAGCCTGGCCAGCATGGTGAAACCCCATCTCTACTAAAAACACAAAAATTAGCTGGGCATGCTGGTGCGTGCCTGTAATCCCAGCTATTCAGGAGGCCGAGGCAGGAGAACTGCTTGAACCCAGGAGGTGGAGGTTGCAGTGAGCCGAGATCATGCCACTGCACTCCTGCCTGGGTAACAGAGCGAGACTCTGTCTCAAAAAACAAAAAAACAAAAAAAGGAAGGGTAATAAATAAAATATGGGAAACCACACAAGCAGAAAAATAAACAACTACCAGTACCCAGAACATGGCTAAATCTCATAGGATGATGTTGAATGAAAGAAGCCAGCCACAAATGTGCACATACTGTATGATTCCATTTATATGATGTTCAAGAACAGGCAAAACTATTCCATGGTGACAGAGGTCAGTATCGTGGTTAACTTTGAGAAGAATAGCAACTGAGAAGGGGCAAGAGGGAGTCCTCTGTGGTGATGCAAGCATTCTGTATCTTGAACTGAATGATGGTCACGTGAGTGTGCACATATGTAAATAGTATGGAGTTGTAACTTAAGGTATATGCACCTCACTGTATGTAAGATACTGTCTTAGTCCATTTGTGCTGCTGTAACAAAATAGCTGAAACTGGGTAATGTATAAAAACAAAAATGTATTTCTCACAGTTCTGGTGGCTGGGAAGTCCAAGATCAAGGTACCAGCAGGTTTGTAGTCTAGTGAGGGCTGCTCTCTGCTTCGAAGAAGGCACGTTGAATGCTGAGTCCTCCAGGGATGAGGAAGGCTGTGTCTAACATGGTGGAAAGGACAGAAAAGCAAAAGACCAAAACTGAGCTGGGTAGCTCCCTCAAGCCCTTTCATAAGGTCACTAATCCCATTCATGAGGGGGCTTCTCCCTCACTACTTAGTCATCTCCTAAACACTCCACCTCTTAATACTATCACATTGGGTCTTAAATTCCAGCATGAATTTTGGAGGAGACACAATCATTCCAACCATAGCAAATATACTTTACTAAAAAAGAAGAAAAAAAGGAAAATCTTGCCTCTAAACATAATATTTTAAGAGTTTAGGCCAGGCATGGTGGCTCATGCCTGTAATCCTAGCACTCTGGGAGGCCGAGGCGGGCAGATAACTTGAGGTCAGGAGTTTAAAACCAGCCTGGCCAACATGGTGAAACCCCATCTCTACTAAAAATACAAAAAAATTTTCCGGATGTGGTGGCGGATGCCTGTAATCCCAGCTACTCAGGAGGCTGAGGCAGGAGAATTGCTTGAACCTGGGAGGCGGAGGTTGCAGTGAGCCGAGGTCGCACCACTGCACTCCAGCCTGGGTGACACAGTGAGGCTCCATTTCAAAAAAAGAGTTTATATATTTACAGCCCAATTTTCTGCTTGCTTGCATACATATTTGTGACCATGAGTGTCATTCTTAGCTGAGAAAAGTTTCAGTAAATTAAATTTTTTTTCACATTATCTATTAATATCCTATTCAGATAAAACCAAATTTCTAACCTAGATTTTAGGTTAAGACAGAAACCCACAGTCGTTGGTTGCAATGTGAGAATGACAGAGAGATTAACTAGCAGCATCCAACTATAAAAATACATTTAAGGGCACAATTCTCTACTAATGACTCCCCCAGACAAATCATTACTTGGATAAATAAAAATGGAAGTGAGCAAAGTTTGAGTCCGTTTTGCAATGGATGTTTCCGAGACTACTAAGTGAAGAGGGTTCAGAAACAAGGGGATAAATGGCATGCTAATTTGGGGTTGAATGGCGTAATGGGATGATCTTGGAAATATAAAAATCCTGCTTAATGGGGCTTGTCTACTTGCAATTCAATAAATCAATATACGTAAATTCAAAGAGACAAAGGACATGAGCACTCAGAACAAAATTACAGGAACAGGGCCAAGCGCGGTGGCTCACGCCTGTAATCCCAGCAATTTGGGAGGCTGAGGCGGGCGGACCACCGGAGGTCAGGAGTTTCTGACAAGCCTGGCCAAGGTGGTGAAACCCCGTCTCTACTAAAAATACAAAAAGTAGCTGGGCATGGGGGTGGGCGCCTATAGTACCAGCTACTTGGGAGGCTGAGGGAGGAGAATCACTTGAACCCGGGAGGCGGAGGTTACAGTGAGCTGAGATCGCGCCACTGCACTGGATCCTGGGCGAAAGAGTGAGACTCCATCTCAGAAAAAAAAAAAAAAAAAAAATTCAGGAACAAATTTAGCAAAGAGGCACCAAAGTTGAGATAAGGCCCACTGTTCCACGTCTGACATCTTTAATTCCTGAGTCATGGGGATAGTAAGCCAGGAACAGAGTCTTCTGACTGGAAGTTAAAACCAGCCTTTGGAGTGGGTTCAGAGAGACTGTTCAGACTCAAGATGCGGAAGCCGATGTTGCATGGTCGGAAATATCCTGATTGCAAGGGCATTTTAAAAGACAATGGCGCTCGGGGAAAAAGAATGCTGTGTGTTTAAGAAGAAAAAAATAAAAATAAAAAGAATGGAAACAAGGAAGAAAAAGTGACCAGAGGGTAGGGCAACCATATGTTCGTTCTGGTTTGCAAGGTACAGCTAAGGTTATGTCTGCTGTCCCGGTGCAATTATTAGTGTCCCCTTTCACTCTCCGAAGTGTCTGGATTTGGATGATAAAGCATATGATCACCCTATTAAAGAGAGGAAATTAGCCAGAAGACCTATGTGTCTATTTCAAACGGTGTGGATCCATCCGCAGCCGCGCTGGTGGCGCTGCCCAGCTGAGCGGTGTGCACCACCTCTGCCTAGCCCTACCCCGCCCTGCCCGGGTCTCCAGGAACGCTGGAGCGGAACCCTTGGCTCTTGCGCTGCTCTGGTGCCACCTACAGGTTATGTGTGGGAACTGCTTCTCCCCACCCCGCTACCCACCACCCCGCCTCCCCACCCCGACCCTGGACAGCCTTGGACTTGCCCAAAAGACATTCAGAGCACGCGAAGCTCCGGCTGGGGAGTGGGCTGGATCCGACAGTGAAGTCCACGTTACAGAATCAGACGGGCCCAGCTTAAACCAACAAAGCCCAGCTCCTCCTCTTCCTACCCACTCCTGTCCTGTCTCATTTTTTAGATGGGAAACTGAAGCCTAATTCAGATTTTTCTTCGGTAGTATTATGAAGCATACAGCTGGAGCCTCCCAGGTGCCATTCCCCACATCTCTGTCTTTCCCCTAACACACTAGGATAGTGGGGAAGCAAGATAAGCGTACTAAGCTCCTACTGTGTACTGGTCACAGAGTGGGCACTTTTCTCTCCAGCCTTGCAATTGATGGGAAATAGGTGATTATACAACTGGGATACAGGATTAGAGTGGGCTAGTGATGTGCTCACAGTCTCTCAGCTGAAACTGGAACCCAGGGGTCTTTGACTCTAAAGCTAGTGCTCTTTTTGGGTCTCCAGCTTGAGCAATAGTTGCAAAATGCAAAGAGCGCCATGAAAATCTAATATTGATCCGTATAAGATTGTATTGCAAACAGAAAGATGGAGTGTCTTCGTGGGGGTGACGGGGAGGGGGGAGATTATCTCAATTCTATGTAACCTGGGAACTCTCCAGGGAACATGAATGAAGCATGACTGAGTGCAATTTGTCTGATAAACAAAATCTGTCAGAACGTGGGGCCTTGTGGGTCCTGAGTGAAGGTAAAAAACCATGGTGCTGGACATTTCCTAAGGTGTTGTTTATGAAATTACTCAGGACCTCAGTGCCTCCACATTCTTCATGACCCTAGGCAGTTTCCCCATCTGTCTTCATTCTACTGCCTGGCATCCTATCCGTCAAACTGTTTTTAGATTTATGTCTCAATAAAATAAAAATCATGGTGGGAGCCATTTATACCCTAGTGAGAGTCATCTAAGATTCCCTTTTCTTCTCAGTCCTTTTTGCTGAAGTTGATTATGAGAGAGGATGGGGAGGGGAAAAGGGTCGGGGGAGCACTCTTGGAGTTTGCACTGTTTCCGGCTGACGCCCTGGCACAGTGTGATTATGTTAATCTAAATGGAGAACGCCATGCATGTTTCTCTCTATTCCCTTTGTCACCAATACCAATTCCCCAAGCAGAGCCCCGGGAGGGCTGGACTGAAGGAGCTGGAGGTATTAGAAAATGCTTGGCTTTGGATTTCAGGCCAAGTTCTGCCGGTGACTTGCTGTGTAAGATCAGACAAGTCAGTTCAGCTCTCTGCACTTCAGTGACCTCATCTGTAAAAGGCTGGTCTGAACTAGCTTATTAATTTTCTTTAGGTTTTGCTATTGTTTTTGTTTTAACATCATATTCAATTCTTCCCCCATCTTTATTAAAGTATATTTGGCAAATAAAAATTGTGTACATTTACAGCGTTCAGTGTGATGTTTTGATATATGCATACATTGTGAAATGATTAAATCAAGTTAATTAACATTTTAATCACCTCACATACTTTTATTATTATTTTTGTGGTAAGAACATTTAAGATCTCTTTGCTTAGAATAGTGTTTACTAGAGGTGAGGAAGAGTAAGGGGGAGGGGGTAACCAAGGGTTGGCTAACAGGTTAACAGATACATGAGTACATGGCTGAGTGCAGTGGCTCACGCCTGTAATCCTAGCACTTTGGGAGGCTCACTTGAGCCAGGAGTTTGAGACCAGGCTGGGCAACATAGGGAGATCCACTCTCTACAAAAAATTTAAAAATTAGCCAGGCATGGTGGTGCACGCCTGTGGTCCCAGCTACTTGGGCAGCTGCGGTGGAAGGATCACTTGGGTCCAAGAGGTTAAGGCTACAGTGAGTTGTGACTGCATCACTGCATTCCAGCCTTAGGGACAGAATGAGACCCTGTCTGGGGGACAAACAAAAACAAAAACAAAAACAAAGAGTACAGCTAGATAGGAAGAATAGTTCTAGTGTCTTTAGCACTATAGGGTGACTGTAATTAATGACAATTTATTATATAGTTTTGAATAGCTAGAAGAGTGGATTTTGAATGCTACCAGAACAAAGAAATGATAAATGTTTGAGGTGGTGGAGATGCTAATTACGATTTGATCATTACACATTGTATACATGTATAAAATATTATACCCCATAAATATATACAACTATGTGTTGATTAAAAATAATAAAAGCAGGCTGGGCACAGCGGCTCATTCCTGTAATCTCAGCACTTTGGGAGGCTGAGGCGGGTGGATCACAAGGTCAGGAGATGGAGACCATCCCAGCTAACATGGTGAAACCCCGTCTCTACTAAAAATACCAAAAATTAGCCAGGTGTGGTGGCATGGGCCTGTAGTCCCAGCTACTCAGGAGGCTGAGGCAGGAGAATCACTTGAACCCAGGAGGCAGAGGTTGCAGTGAGCTGAGATCGTGCCACTGCACTCTAGCCTGTGTGAAAAAGTGAGACTCCGTGTCAAAAAAAATAGTAAATAAAATAAAAATAGCCGGGCGTGGTGGCTCACACCTATAATGCCAGCACTTTGGGAGGCTGAGGCAGGTGGATCATGAGGTCAGGAATTCAGGACCAGCCTGGCCAAAATGGTGAAAACCCGTCTCTACTAAAAATACAAAAATTGGCCAGGCCTGCTGGCAGATGCCTGTAATCCCAGCTACTTGGGAGGCTGAGGCAGAGACTTGCTTGAACCCGGGAGGCGGAGGTTGCAGTGAGCCGAAATTGTACCACTGCACGCCAGCCTGGGTGACAGAGCGAGACTCCGTCTCAAAAAAAAAAAGAAAAAAATAATAATAAAAGCGAAAAATCTACTTTCTTAGCAATTTTCAAGCATACGTTATTATTAACTATAGTCATCATGCTGTACAACAGGTCTCCAGAACTAATAACATTATATTTAATTCTGATCAAAGTACTAGATACACAGAGTTAAGAACAAAATGGTATCTGGATCAAGAAATCCTCAGTAAAACAAGAAAAGAAGAAAAAAGAACAAAATGATAATAAAAGGCTTATATCAAAAACCATTTACTCTTCCCTTTCCTTTCTTGCCTTTGAGTTCTAATTCCCAGAGGCCATCTCTTTAAGCTGATTTTGCTACTTCCTCTGGTATTTATCTTTTTTTTTTTTTTTTTTTTTTTTTTTGAGATGGAGATTTGCTCTTGTTGCCCAGGCTGGAGTGCAATGGTGTGATTTCCACTCACCACAACCTCCACCTCCCAGGTTCAAGCGATTCTCCTGCCTCAGTCTCCTGAGTAGCTGGGATTACAGGCATGCACCACTACACCTGGCTAATTTTGTATTTTTAGTAGAGATGGGTTTTTTCCATGGTCAGGCTGGCCTTGAACTCCCGACCTCAGGTGATCCGCCCACCTTGGCCTCCCAAAATGCTGGGATTACAGGTGTGAGCCAAAATGCCCGGACTATCATTGTATTTCTAAAGAATGTTTATGTTGCTATTTCTTGATTTGTTTTCTTCAGTATCTGTCAATTCCTGGCATAGCACAGTATAGGGCTTACCTTCCTTATGAGGTCTTACTTTCCTTGCCTCCATTACACCAATTTGACTGGATCACAATTTTATGAAATCAAAAGCATTTACATTCTTATAGCTATGTAAATATTGTTCCCTAACCCAAGTTCCACACTGAAATTGTTTCATTTCTTTCCTTTATTCCCCCAGAGTTAATAATTGCTGTAGACTTTTTCCCTTCATTTGTTTATGTTTTTCTTTATTTTTATTTTTATTTTTTACCAATTACCTACCAATTTTTTCAGATGCTTCAACCAATCTATCAAATGCCTAGTGATAATTATCCAAAAACTAAGATACACTGGATACTCTATCAGCCCCATTATTTTCCTGGAGGCTTCTCTCTCTCCCTTGAACTCCATCCTTCTGCTCCAAACTGGACTCGGCTCTCAGCCCATGGCACAGCTGGCATCCTGGCATGTCTCTGCACCATCGTGTGAATTTCCTGCTGCCTCTTCTGTGTGCATCTCCTGTTCCCTGGCCCCAGATCTTCTTTTTCCTTGGTTTATCCTCTCACCGTGTTGCAGCACATCTTCCAGTGGCTTCCTGAGACAGAGTGAATGGAAGCCAAGTTTCCGACCCCACATATTTTAAAATGTCATTGTTCTACTCCAACTCCTGATTAATAGTTTGGCTGGAAATAATGCTCTAATTTAAACATAACTTCTCCTCACATTGGGAAATATTGCTCTATTATTTTCTAGTTCCCAGTGTTGTTGGGAAGAAGTCAGTGTCATGCTGAGTCTTGGCTCTTTATATATGACCTCTTTTCTCTCTATAAGATTTTAGGATTTTCTCTCTATCCTTGCTTTTCTGGAATTTCCCAATGATGTGCCTTGTTGTAGGTCTTTCTTCATTCACTATGCTAGTCACTCGGTAGACTCTTTGAACTGGAAAATTATATCCTTCTATTGTGGAAAGCCACCAGCAGGTTCATGTGAGCTGGGTAATCTCATTCTTTTCTTCCAAGGACAGAGGTATCAAGGCCCTGGGTACCTTATAAGTGGATGGGGAAAGGGCGCCTGAGGTGAATCCAACAAAGCTGCAGCACCCACTGAGCTCATGTCCCAGGGCTAGGCTCTGCCTGAGGACAGGAGACATGGGTAAGACCCACTTCCTGCCCAGTCCCATGGTGGGGCTCAGGACACACATGGTCCAGGAGGCCCCCAGTTCCGGGCTGCATTTACATGCACCTACCTGCATGCAGCATTCAGTGAGCCACAGGACAACTTAGGGGAAGGGGCAGCTCCAGAGAGCAGGACAGGAGGGAGGTAAATAATCACGGGGTGGGGAGTGGCCTTGTGGGGAAGGGGCAAAGGCAGGGGTGTGTGTGTGTGTGTATTGTGTATTGGGGGAAATGGGGAGACCATCTGTAGTTTTGTCTCCCCTTTTCTGGCTACTGCACCCGTTTTTTCATGAATAGTTTTTCTTTCCATCATGGACTGAATGTCTCTGTCTCTTCCAAATCCAGCCCTAACCCTCTCTGTGGCTGCATTTGGAGATGAGGCATCTCAGGAAGTCATTAAGGTTAAATGAGGTCCTAAGGGTGGGGCCCTGATTCAGTAGGATTAGTGTCCTTATAAGATGAGACACCAGAGAGTTCACTCACTCTCTCTCTCCTCACAAATACAAAGAAGAGGTCATGTAAGCATACAATATGGCAGCCACCTACAGGTCAAGAGGAGAGGCCACAGAATGAAACCTACCTTGCTGGCACTTTGGTCTTGGATTTCCCAGCCTCTAGAACTGTGAGAAATAAATGTTTGTGGCTTAAGCCACCCAGTCTGTGGTATTGTGGCATGGCACCCTGAACTGACTAATACATCTCCCCGCCCTACTTCAACCACATGACACTAGAGGGCTTGGCAGTTCTAGTGTCCCAGCTACCCAGCCAATCCAGACCAGACCAAGCAGTAACTTTCTTCTGGAATTTTCTGAATAGGAACTAATGGAGAGGAGCCCCATCCTTTCTTAGGGGCAAAGCCAGGAAGATGGAAGCCTCATGCTGCCAACAGCCTGATTCCAACCTTGTGAAGAAAGTTGCTCTGAGAGCACAAAACTGATCTGCGGACTGAGGTGGAGACAGAGACAAGGGAAGGAGCCTGCAAATCTTGACAGTGCTGGTGACTCTGAGTCCAGGTATTCCTGAGGCCCAGCTGTTCCCTGCCCTGCCCGTGGCTAACTTACTGAGCAATGAACTTCCCTTCTTGCCTAAGCCAACTCGAGTGAATTTTCTGTCACTCACACCCAAAGAGCCCTGACTGCAATGGCAGGGCATGGCAGGGCTGGGCTGGCCAGGGCAGAGGACAGTGTGGGTGGAATCAGCTGTAACAGGCACACGGGAAGTGCAGTTATCACATAAACTCCATGAGGTCTTCCTTCAGCCCTGACTGTGAGCAGGGCTGGGTCCATATGCTCAGTAGGTCAGAGTAAGGGATTTGGTCAGAGGTGCCATGCTCAAGGCCATCTTTCTATGGGCCAGACTCTTCAGCATCAAAGGCTTTGCCATCAGAGAGTTTTAGTCATATCTTGGGTTCACTTGATCAATTGCTGTTCTCCTACTTTCAGGATCTTTACACTAGGCTGCCCCACATGGGTGTTAGGAAGCCATAGACATCCTGGCCAGAAGCCCAGACCACAAAAAGCGTTCCTGCCCGCCTGCCCGGGGTTCCAGAGGGCAGGACCGATGGGTGGTGGGAGGAGCCCAGCCTGGGCAGTTGTGACATGTACACCACTCTTGATCTGTCTCCTGGAACTTTTCACCCCTCAAGTTTGGGCCCCAGTGGGGCACACATGGGAAAGACAATGAATGCCCATGTCTCCAACTAGTTTCCCCATCAGAAGTGGTTATTGCACCAAGCTCCCCACTCTATTAAAATTGCACAGACCAAGGGCCACTTTCCTAATGGATGGGTCTTCTTGGTCCATCTCTTGCTCCCAACAGAGCTCCCTCCCTGGGATGGGAATGTGCCATTCCAGGAGAGGCCTTTTGACCCAGCCTCCAGCCAAAGCCAGTCTCCCTGCCATGCAGGCCCTAGAGTTACACTGGAGGGTGACAGGCCTCACCTGGAAATTTCTTGCTGAAAATTGTCAGTTTCCCACACAAGTACGGCCTGGCAGTTTAATTCAAATTAAATTCAGAAGGAGACTGCTGCTTCAATCTCAACTGCTTGAAAATTAGGCCATATAGAGTTTTTGTTTGCTGGAAACTGTGGAGTCAGACATTGTGCAGATTGACCCAGTAGCTATAGCAAGTACACACATAGGGCGTCAACCAATGACAAGGGTGCACACACACACATGCACACAGCAGGAAATCGAGAAATAAACTATTTTAATGTCAGGTGTCATGGAAGTTTTGTGTCATTTCCCCAAAAACACACATTTTATTTTATGATTTAGTCTTGTTTTTATTTAGAATTACTTAAGGAAAAGGAGAGCTAAGTGCAGTGGCTCATACCTGTAATCCCAGCACTTTGGGAGGCTGAGGCAGGAGGATCACTTGAGCCCGGGAGTTTGAGACCAGCCTGGGCAACATGGTGAAACCCCATCTCTATAAAAAATACAAAAATTAGCCAGATGTTGTAGCGTCTGCCTGTGTCCCAGCTACCCAGGAGACTGAGGTGGGAGGATCGCCTGAGCCCAGGAGGCACAGATTGCAGTGAACTGAGATCACGTCACTGCACTGCAGCCTGGGCGACAGAATGAGATCCCATCACAAAAAGAAAGAAAGAGAGAAAGGAAGAGAGAAAAAGAAAAAGAGAAAAGAAAATAAAGGGGAGGGGAGGGGAAGGGAGGGGAAGTGAGGGGAGGGGAGGAGACAAGACGAGAGGAATAGGATCCTGATAGCTGGTATGGGGAAACTTAAGTGGATACATCTGAGAACTTTGAGCCTCCAGTTTCCACGGAATGCTCTGGGCTAAAAGAAGTAGCCCTCTTTCCTTGCTAAGAGAAGGGCAGCTGCCCCTTGCCTGGAGACTAGGCAAAGAGCCTCCAACAAGGCCTTACAGCAGGATGAGGTGTGTCATTATTGCTGCCCCACATTGACACCAGACTATGGCCTCATCATGGCCCAAAGTCACAAGCACAATCTGCTATGGGAGAATGATTTTTTTGCCAAAAATGTTGCAGGGGCTGCCTGGTGATAAAAATAAAAAATCCGTACTTAAAAGCAACACACCAATAGAGGCAAGCAAAACATGTTTTGCAAAAAACAACTATCAATGGTGATGGCACATGGATCTCCCCTTTCAGAACCCTGAGATTCTCAGTGCCGTTACCCTAATGGCTTTCTGCAGAGGAGGTAACTATCAGAATCACATGGAGAAGATCAGAGCCTGGAAGGAAACTTGAGATTTTTTTTATTACAACCTTCTTCATTTACACAGAGACAAAACTGAAATTCAGAGAGTTCTGGTTTCTCAAGGCACACCACTGGTCAATAAACACACAGAGCCAGAAGCTAGATCTAGCTCAGCGTTCTTTTAAAGCTTTAAAATTTCCTCTCTGCTAGTAAAGCTTACAGCCTGGCAAGAATATAATATATACACACAAATACAGTTATAATGGTGAAAACTTGGAAACAACTTAAATGTCCAACAATACAGGCATTAATTCTCTATAAAGTGAATATCAAATAGCCATAGAAAAGACATTAAAGACCCAGAAGTGTTGCTAATTGAGCAAAAATACATCCTTTCCGGTCAGATGCAGTGGCTCACACCTGTAATCCCAGCACTTGGGGGCTGAAGCGGGCAGATCACTTGAGTTCAGGAGTTTGAGACCAGCCTGGCCAACATACAAAACCACATAGTAAGGTACATAGATGTGCTTTGGTCAAGGAATAGGCCGAGGTGGATATCTAGGCCTGTGTGACTCACGAGTTTGGCGTGCAAGCACACAGCTCCACTTGTAATATAACCTGTTTGTGTAAGTTCATTCCTGGCTTTATGCCACTATTGTCTGTAAAAGGTATAACTGCCCTGTTGATGCCGTGCATAAGAGACATGGCTCTTCGGGGCTTGGCTCAGTTTGGCTTAACATGGCTTGACATGATGAGCACACTGGCACCCAGAGAAAGAGAGAGCCAAAGCTGTCCATCTTGCAGGCAGATGGGAGGGAGCCAGGACACAGCTGGGCTTGCTCATGCCCAGAGAGAGAAGGAGTTAAGCTGCTGACCCTGAAGGCAAGAGAGAGCTGGCTGCGCAGCTATGTGTAGGGGCAGCTGGCTCAAGCTGCTGAGACAGGCGAACAGTGGAAGAGTAAGCTGCTAATAAGAGAGCTAGTGTAAGAAAGCTGTTAATGAGAGCTGCCGCTGAATAAAACTATCTTTCACCTGCCTATGGCCCCCCGATTGTTCTTTCTGCTCACCCACCCACTCCCCTCAGACTTCACCATGGGCTGGACCTGGACCCTGGGATCTGACACACATCTCTGCTAAAAATACAAAAATTAGCCAGTGTGGTGGCCCATGTAATTCCAACTACTAGGGTGGCTGAGGCACGATGATCACTTGAACCCAGGAGGCACGGTTGCAGTGAGCCAGGATCATACCACTGCACTCCAGCCTGTGCAACAGAGCCTGACCCTGTCTCTAAATAAATAAATAAATAAATAAAGTGAAAGACCATTTGTCCAGTATAAACTCTTTCAAAATATATACTCAAGCACAGGAAAGTCTAGAAATGTCATCAATGGTAATTTCAGGAAAGAATTCTAAGGTGACTTTTTTTGGTTATCTGCATTTTTTGTTTTGTTTTGTTTTTTTGAGATAGGGTCTTACTCTGTCACCCAGGCTGGAACATAGTGATATGATCAGGGCTCACTGCAACCTTGACCTCCCAGGCTTAAGCAATTCTCCCACCTCTGTCTCCTGAGTAGCTGGGACTAGAGGCGCATGCCACCACACCTGGCTAATTTTTGTATTCTTGTATTTTTTGCAAAGATGGGGTTTTGCTGCATTGCCCAAGCTGGTCTCAAGCGATCTACCCATCTCGGCCTGCCAGAGTGCTGGGATTACAAGTGTGAGCCAAGTGTGCCAGGCCTACTTTTTTTTCTATAATGACCACGACCATGGGTTTCATGTACCAACTTTTTTTTTTAACAATAAGAGATACAAAGCATATTATGAAAAATGTTCAGGGAAAAAGAAGAATACAAAATTGTAAAAATCATATATAACTAGTTTTTTTTTTTTAAGGCAAGAAAGAAACAAAATAGATTGTCCAGGAAGATGGTTACTTCCACTTTGTATTTCTCTGGTGAACTCATTAGGAACTCTAAAAAGTTCCAGGAGTAGAATCACGGGGTCAAAGTACCCTGGCTATAACTTCCGATTCAGAGAATCCTAACAACTTACATTGTCACCAGCAAGGTCTTTGACTACATGAGCAACTCTCACCTTAAAGCATTTCTCATCTGACATTAGCTGCTTGGCTTTCTGTGGATACGTTGACTCCAGGAGGCTTCTTGAGTTCTGTGTGTTCGGCTGGCCTCCGGTGGCCCCATTATTATTTTCTGCCAGGTAAAGGTCAGTCACCTGTACACAGATCTCATCACTCATGATATGCTGCAGCTGGAATCAAACAACGGCAAGCTGTCAGTGAACACAGAAAACATTTCTCCATTACACAGTCAATGTTCCTTTGACTGATCCAGTCACTCAACTCAAAAGAGGTTTTGGTTTTATTTGGCTGGCAATTTTAGAAAATTCACCAGACAAACCACTGTATCATTTTCTTGGAGAATAATCAAGCTAAGTTTTTCAACCATATCAGTGGTTCATTGTAAAACTTTCATATCTATTTAAAATAAAAACCATAGAGAACTCAGGTTAATGTACTGTTTATTTAAAATTCTAAGGATCTTTAAATAATTTTCCATAGGTCATATTTTATTGCATTTTAAAATCATTTAGAATTTGCTTTCATACATATTCTCTCTCATTTGATCCTCACAACTTCCCTGGGAAGCAGGTTGGAGAGAGAGTTGGGACCTGTTAGGAGACAAATTTACACAATGCATAAGAAAGCTCACTGTGAGTTGGGGTGAGGAGGGGAGCCTTGGAGAATCATGAAAGCAATATCTATATCTTTATTCCCAGCCCAACTACAAAGCCTGAAACTCATTAGGTATTTAAGAAATAGCTGCTGAATTATTGCCTAGGGGTGCTCAGCTGAAGAAGGAGGGTTGGGACTAACAGTCAAGCTTCCTGACTCCTAGCCCAATACTTTTCCAAACACACCACCTATTTTTCTATATCTGATAGAAAGTACAGTGCTTAAGTTGTACATGATGTTATCTCACTTTTAATACAGGCCAATCATGATTGACTATATGTGGCTTTCATGACAATCTTAGGAAACTAATGACTAGAAAGTTGAACCTTTCAGAGTTCCCATTCTCATGTTATATGCTATTTCTATTTTGAAATAAAAATCCTTCCAAATGAAACTTTATCCATCAAAATGTCAGAGAAGTGAAAAATAGATGCAAGAAGAAAGCAAAACGTTAATTTCAATATCAGCCGGGTGTGGTAGCTCATGCCTGTAATCCCAGCACTTCGGGAGGCTGAGGTGGGCAGATCACAAGGTCAGGAGATCAAGACTACCTTGGCTAACACGGTGAAACCCCGACTCTACTAAAAATACAAAAAATTAGCTGGGCGTGGTGGCAGGCACCTGTAGTCCCAGCTACTCAGAAGGCTGAGGCAAAAGAATGGCATGAACCTGGAAGGCGGAGCTTGCAGTGAGCTGAGATCCCACCACTGCATTCCAGCCTGGGCAACAGAGTGAGACTCCATCTCAAAAAAAAAAATTGGGGGCCTGGTAGTTAAAAATCAACCCCTGACCTAACTGCTTGTGTTATCTATAGATTCCAGACATTGTATGGAAAAGCATTGTGAAAATCCCTGTCCTGTTCTGTTCCATTCCAATTACTGGTGCATGCAGCCCCCAGTCACATACCCCCTGCTTCCTCAATTGATCACGACCCTCTCACACAGACCCCCTTAGAGTTGTAAGCCCTTAAAAGGGACAGTCATTGCTTACTTGGGGAGCTTGGCTTTTGAGATGCAAGTCTGCAGAAGCTCCCAGCTGAATAAAGCTCCTTCCTTTTTTAACCTGGTGTCTGAGGAGTTTTGTCTGCAGCTCATCCTGCTACAATATGTCATGGACCAACCTCAAAAACATTAGCTAAGTAAAAAAGCCAGACACGAGACCACATATTGTATAATTCCATTGATTTGAAATGTCCAAAAAAGGCAAATTTATAGAGAAAGAAATGGGCTGATTTATCTCAAGAGGCAGGGATTCAAGCTTTCTAGACTATATGTGATACATAGATGAGAAAAAATAAGGAAAAGAAAATAAATTTAAATAGAAATAAATGAAAATAATACTTCTCCCTGATTATAAAGAAAATCATATTCTTTTTCTAATAATTTGGAAGACAAAATATGAAGAAAAGTCTTTAATTTTGCCACTCAAAACATTCTGCCTTGTTGCTTTTTATACTTTTTTATGCATATACACATTTTAAAAAGTAGAATCATTATATAGTCTTTTGTCACTATGTTTTAGGCATATTTCTATGGCAGTAAATCTATCCTTAGCATCATCATTTTTAATAGCTCGATGTATATTAACTTAATCATTGCCACCCCAGAAATAAATTTTCTTATATGTATATTTTTAGTGGATTAGAGCAAGCATTTTTGGATTTAATTCATAGAAGTAGAATTTCTGGAGGAAAATAACGTACAACAGTTTTAGGGTTTTTAATATAAATTTTCAAATTATCCTGCAGAAAAATTGGTTCAGTTTATACTCCCACCAACAGGGGCAGAGCTCCAGTTTCCCCCTCCCATTTGTCCTCTTCGCTGGTCTTTAAGCAGAAAATCTGATTGTTTTCATTACATTTATTTGGTTTCTAACGCTTTTGAATCTTTTTTTTTTTTTTTTTTTGAGATGGAGTCTTGCTCTGTCATCCAGGCTGGAGTGCAGTGGTGCAGTCTCAGCTCACTGCAATGTCTGCCTCTTGGGTTCAAGCTATTCTCTTGCCTCAGCCTCCAGAGTAGCTGGGATTACAGGTATCCACCACCACACCTGGCTAATGTTTGTATTTTTAGTAAAGACAGGGTTTCACCATGTTGGCCTGGCTGGTCTCACATTCCTGATCTTAGGTGATCCTCCTGCCTTGGCCTCCCTGAGTTTTGGGATTATAGGCATGAGCCACTGCACCCAGCCACCACAGCTAACTTCTTCTTTTTTTTTTTTGAGATGGAGTCTCACTGTGTTGCCCAGGCTGGAGTGCAGTGGCCCGATCTTGGCTCATTGCAAGCTCTGCCTCCCGGGTTCACGCCATTCTCCTGCCTCAGCCTCCCAAGTAGCTGGGACTACAGGCGCCTGCCACCATGCCCGGCTAATTTTTTTTTGTATTTTCAGTAGAGATGGGGTTTCACTGTGTTAGCCAGGATGGTCTCGATCTCCTGACCTCATGATCCGCCCGCCTCAGCCTTCCAAAGTGCTGGGATTACAGGTGTGAGCCACTGCGCCTGGCCGCAGCTAACTTCTAATGAGGCCACCTTAGACAAGTTACTTACTGTCTCTGAGTGCAGTGGTGCAGTAATGGCTCACTGTAACCTTGATCACCTAGACTCAAGAGATCCTCCCACCTCAGCCTCATGAGTAGCTGGGACTACAAGCCTGCACCACCACACCCAGTTAATTTTTCTAGTTTTTGTAGAGACAGAGTTTTGCTATGTTGCCTAGGCTGGTCTTGAATTCCTGGCCTAAAGCAATCCTCCTGCCTTGGCCTCCCAAAGTGCTGGGATTACAGGCATGAGCCACCATGCCCACATTTTCTTTTCCAAGCTATATAGAGGATGCTGTATGCATCCTTCTGGAACTTGTTTTTTTTCACTTAATATTATATTGCTAAGATTCATCCTTATTGTTGTTTATAGCTGGCATTCATTCTTTTTGTATGTTGTGACATCACCAGAAGATAGAGATCCTGAGATCTCTTAAGAACTGCTGCTGGGAGTATACACTGGTATAACCACTTTGGAAAACAATTTGGCTCCATCTCATAAGGCTGAATATTCATACTCCTCCCAGCTCAGCAATTCTACTCTACATCCAAAAGAAATTCTTGCCTATATAAAACAATATAAAACAGGGGATGTGGACAAGGAATGTTCCTAACAGCTCTGTTCAAAATAGCAAAAACCTATTTCCCATCAGCTGGAGAGTGAGCGACTAAATTGTGCTTTTTATTCCCTTTAATTTCCAGTAGTCTTAGGATGCAAGTGGCTTTCCCATGGCTAGCTTGGGGAGGGGGATACTCTTGGCAATGGAGTCTGGGGTGGCAGTCCTGATTAGCCCTAGGGCAATCAGTGCTGCCCAAAACAAGAGAAAATAGAACAAGGTGCCCCACTGAGCCAATGCCCTGGGTCCCTGGAGGTACAGGTTTGTACCTGGAGGAAATAGCCATCATACAAATCAGTCTTTTCAAATGCTTCTGTCACTGGGCTGAGTCCAAAGGACACCCTTTCCCAAAACATTACAAAGCTTATTGGGGCTACCATTTATTGAGCATTTATCATGTGCCTGATCATGTACTAGTGTAGTAATTGTGTGCATTATTTCATTTATTTATTTATTTACTTACTTATTCATTGATTTGAGATAGGGTCTCTCTCTGTTGCCTGAGCTGGAGTGCAGTGGCGTGATCATGGCTCACTGCAGCCTCAAACTCCTGGGCTCAAATGATCTCACCTCAGCCTCCCGAGTAGCTGGGAATACAGGCATAAACCATCAAGTCCAGCTAATTTTTTAAAAAACATTTTCGGGCCGGGCAGGTGGCTCATGCCTGTAATCCCAGCACTTTGGGAGGCCGAGGCAGGTGGATCACAAGGTGAGGATATCGAGACCATCCTGGCTAACATGGTGAAACCCCGTTTCTACTAAAAATGCAAAAAATTAGCTGGGTGTGGTGGCGGGCGCCTGTAGTCCCAGCTACTCCAGAGGCTGACGCAGGAGAATGGCATGAACCCAGGAGGCAGAGCTTGCAGTGAGCTGAGATCATGCCACTGCACTCCAGCCTGGGCAACAGAGCGAGACTCCATCTCAAAAAGCAAAACAAAAGAAAACAAAAAACATTTTCATAGAAATGAGGTCTGGCTTTGTTGCCCAGGCTAGTCTCAAACTCCTGGCTTCAAGTGATCCTCCCCCTTGAGCCGTATTATTTCATTTAATCTTCACCATCACCTTATAAGAGTGCTTGGGGGTAGGTGCTCCACACAGTAGCAACGTAGCAACCTCCACTCATAGTGACAACGAGACTCAGTGTAGTCAAGCAACTTCTCAAAGTTCACACAGCTGGAGGGTGGCTGAGCCAGGATGAAGACCTAGGACTCTAAAGCTGGTGTGCCAGTAAATGAGAAAAGTCTCTAAGCGTTCAGGATAGCTTCCTCCCAAGAAATCTTTCTCCAAAAGTTCTAAAAACAATGACAGATCCATCTTTTATAAAGCAGACAAAACTAGCAGTCCGTTCCTTTTAGAGTGGGGTGTAAAGGTTAGCTAAGCTCCAGGGCATCCCATTTTAATCCTATATATTTATAAGGCAACTGCCAGCAGAGCACCCCAAACCTAAAGAACCCTGCACAGCTGTCTCTGTGGGGCATGGCGTGTCCATGGATGTAAAGATTTTCCAATGTGTGCTTACGGGCCTGTGGCATCACCCTCAGTCACTGTCAAAGGGTAGCTAGGCCCTGCCCGCTAGGCACCATCCTGAGAATCTGCTGAGCTTTCTAACTAGTTTATCTGTTGTTTGCAGTGAAAGATGCCCTGAAAAGAAGGGGTGTGGGTGGGAAGAGTTCTGATTTGAGGTCCCCTGATCCAGGCATGCTCTTCTTCCCCAGTTGCAGGAATCAGGGGACTCTATCTGTAAATGCGGGCTCAAGCCATGCCCCCCAGCTCCCTCTTTCAACCAGGTGCCACCCTCTGCTTCTCTTCCATAGACAGCCTAGAGCTGCCAGCAGTCCCTTAGGATCTGTGGCCTCAGGCCTGGCTTAATTTTTTCCTCTCCAAAGAGCCATCTGTAGGGCCAGAGGCCGTCAAAGCCTGACTCATTACTGGATGCCAGTTCCTTTGCCTGACCTTCAGTGATTCCTACCTTACCCTGCGGTTTTATGTTTCTTGTCTCAACACTATTATTTCTTATTTCTCCACAAGTTGAATTGCTCACTCCAGCCCCTCGAAGCATGCTCTTTTTGACACAGTTAGCTTTAGGCACATGGTTGGTGCTAAAAAAAAAAAAAAAAAAAAAGAGCATTATGTCGTTTTCATTGATTAACAAACGTGATGGCTTCACTGCAAAGTAAAGTTGATACTGCCTGGACCCCTGAGTTCAAGAGTCTTTTAGACAAATGGCTCTGAGCTAAAACATGAGCATGCAAACATATGCATCTGTTTCGGTCTGATGAGATAATTTGGATACTTGGTTGTTATCCTTGAGCATTTTCCTGCCTCATTAATGCATGTGTAGCCAGCACAATAATAATCATAGCTAATAATGGCTAAAGCTGAGGGCTTTCCTGAGCCAGGCAGTGGCTTTAAAACTTTAAAGTGGCTTTTAAAACTTTAACAGCTAAAGCTGAGGACTTTCCTGAGCCAGAAAGTGGCTTTAAAACTTTAAAGTTTTCACATGGACTCTCATTGAATAATTTCTGTTTTTCAGATCAAGAAACTGAGACTTACTATCACATTTGGGATTAAGTTAAAAAAAAAAAAAGAAACTGAGGCTTAAAGCTGTCAAGCATTTCACAGCCAGCAAGCAGCTAAATCGGAACTTGAACCCAGGCAGTCTAGCCCTGGGATCCTGTGCCCTTCCTTACCCATTATCCAGTGTTGGCTACACAAAACTAATGAGTACATATTTTCAACTATAGTTTAAGTGGGTGACATATTTTTCACTATATTTTATGTAGGTGACTTTCAGTTTGGGGGTATTCTACTTACACAATCTATTGAGCTGGATATTACTGAGAACAAAAAGAAACTAATGAACTCTGAAAAACATAAAACATGAGCAACATGACATCACTGCAAAAGACAAAACAGCACATAGCCTTCTTGTGACTGTATTTTGCTGACAGTCCATGAGCTGATAGCCTGAACTCAGCAGTGCTGTTCCCTTGGGAGACACACACACACACACACACACACACACACACACACACACACGAGTTGGTGGTTTTGTACCTCCCCCCGCCCCTAAATACACACACACCAGTTGGTGGTTGTGCAGCCTGGAGCTTCCAGTCCGCGAGTGTGAGGAACGGACTAGATGGGTCCAGCAGTGCTGGGTCAAAGCCAGGAGGGGGCAGCCGGAAGCGCGCACATGCTCTGGACTCGTGCACCCGCCGAAACGGGTGCGCACCGGGCGCGCGGGGGTGAGAGGTGAGGGGTGAGGGGTGAGGGACGAGAGGGACGGGAGCGGGGTAGGGGCAGCCCTTTCCCAGGCGGTAGCGGGGGCGGTGGTGCTGTTGTCCTTTTAAGCTGTGGCTTGACAGGAGGAGCGCCTCCTGTCGGTGGAGTCTGTTACAAGGGGAGCAGCCGCCCAGGCCGCCACACAGCTCCCCGCAGAGGCCTCGGTGCCCCTTGCCATTTTCCAGCCCTACTCCGACTAGAGTTGAGGCAGCGGGGAGAGGCGGAGCCGCGAGAGCGCCGCCGAGAGGTCCCGCGGGTGGTCGCGGCCATGACAGCGGCTCCCGACCGGCTCACCTTCCGCGCCCCTCCCGCCAGAGGTGAGAGTAAAATGTCCGTGTCAGGGTTCAAGGCCAAGCTGAAGTTGTTGTCCTCTATTTTCCACAAGAACCAGGAGCCGCCGCGGCAGCTCAGGCTCCACTGCAACATCACGGTGAGGCGCCCAGCGGCGGCTTCACACGGCAGGGCGAGGGCGGAGAGGAAGAGCCCGGAGTCCCGGGACAAAGGGGAACCTGCCCAGGAGAGGCCCCGGTTCCCCGGGCCGGGTGAGCGCGCACCTTTCTCCCGCGACTGGCCTGGCCCCGATCGCCGGGACTGCGGGAGGCTTGGGTGGGAGGAGGGGGAGGGCGCGTCTCTCTGGCTCCTTGCTGCGGGGCTGGCTTGGGGGCTGCCGGCACCTCTCGCCCCAGTCACCGCGCCCCGAGGTGGGAGCCCGCGTCGCCCGCAGCCCTTTCGGGGCCCATGGTCGCCCTCAGTCAGCCAGCCTGCTCCCCGGGACCGCGACGGGGCGTGGCAGGGCGTCTCCGGCTGTTGTTTGAGCCCGGGCGGGGAAGGGGAAAGGCCTTCAAGATTTTCGGGGTTTTGGCCGGGCGCAGTGCTCGTTCCTGTAATCCCAGTACTTTGGGAGGCTGACGCAGCTGGATCGCCTGAGGTCAGGAGTTCTAGACTAGCCCGGCCAACATGGTAAAACCCTGTCTCTACTAAAAATACAAAAATTAGCCGGGCATGGTGGCAGGCACTTGTTGAGATGGAGTCTCACTCTGTCGCCCAGGCTGGAGTGCAGTGGGGTGATCTCGGCTTACTGCAGCCTCCGTCTCTTGACAGTCCATGGGTTCAAGCGATTCTCCTGCCTCAGCCTCCCGAGTAGCTAGGATTACAGGCTCCTGACACCACGCCTGGCTAACTTTTGTGTTGTTTAGTAGAGACAGGGTTTCACCATGTTGGCCAGGCTGGTCTCGAACTCCTGACCTCAAATGACCCATCTCTGCCTCCCAGAGTTCTGGGATTACAGGCCTGAGCCACCGCGCCCAGATCCAAGGCCCTTAAGCTTAAATGCCTCGTTCTTCAGTCAGGTTTTCCTTGTTCCCGCATGTTCAGCCAATCGTGTTTAAGGAGAAACTAACAATGAAAACGGGCTTGTTGATGGAGGAAAAGTTGGAATGCAGCCTCTGGTGCTGTTTGAGCGATCCCTCTATCCCGGGTCGCTGCTGTGTTCTGGAAAGGCACATTGTACCCTGGATGCAGCAGGTAAGAGTCCTGTCCAGGTGCTCTGCCCGCTTTCCTTTCAGGCTTCTGTATCATCTATTTTTCCCCTGTAGAATGTGCCCCTGACAGCCACCCCCTAACCCTACCCAATTTGTCTTTACATGTCTGACCATCAAGGCTCTTCTGGGTCATATTCAGTTCATGCTGATATTTCCCCTTCCTCCCCTCTTTAGTCCTCACTATTTTTGCTTTGGTCATGTTATGCTGTATTCTGTAAGGCTTTTTAATTTTTTTTTTATGATGGCAGGGGAGAATAGTTTATAATTATGCTTTGTGCTTTTTATCTTCTACTCAATAAATGCTTGGTAAATATTTGTTTTATTGAATGTATGACCCTATTCTAGCTATATTGTGCTTGAACAAAAACCTTAACTGCCTTGTAAGTTAACTGCTAAGAATTTGTCAGAAGTGCAGACATAACATCAAGAACTTGTCATGGATAGTACAAAAAGGTCTCTAAGGGCTTGATGGAGGCCTGTAAATTGACTTCCTATGAAAGAGAGTGTAAGAAGTGAAAATGTAAAGCATGACTGGAGAGCCAGAGTGATGAAGCCAGGGTCCCTTTCTCCAGATCCTTTGTAACAGTGTTATGTGATCTCTTCTAGAAGATCGTTCTGAAAGATAATGCCAACTTGGAACCTAGGAAACCATCCAGTGGGTTTCTGCAGCTTAGGTGGTTCAAATCCTCATCAGCACCTTTGTTTTCTCTGCCTCAGTTTGCTAACAATGATGTTCTCAGTAGCTGTAATTGCTGTCTTTGAATACGTAAGCATTTTTTTTTAGATGACAGGGATATATGTGCATTTTTATTTTACCAAGTGTTAGAATTTTTACTCTGCTTTTGTGGGCTCTGGGTTAGCTACTTGGTTGTTTAGATGTAAAATGATTAGCAGGGAAAACTCTGTGTGTGTGTGTGTGTGTGTGTGTGTGTGTGTGTGTGTGTGTGTGTTATAAGTTTCTTTTGTTGTCAGAGGACTTAGAATTTTATTTTATATGGTAATTCTGTCAATTTACTTTATTCTCCACCCCACATTTATTGAACAGCAAAGTATGAAAGTAACGTGTCCCATAACCAGCCTTCAGAAAAATTACAACTGCTGTATATCTGAAATTCTTTTTTTCTTTTTTTAATTTTGAGAAGGAGTCTCACTCTATCACCCAGGCTGGAGTGCAGTGGCACAATCTCGGCTTACTGGAAACTCTGCCGCCCACGTTCAATCGATTCTCCTGCCTCAGCCTCCTTAGTAGCTGGGATTACAGGCATCTGCCACTGCACCTGTCTAATTTTTGTAATTTTAGTAGAGTCGGGTTTCACCATGTTGGCCAGGTTGGTCTTGAACTCCTGACCTCATAATCTGCCTGCCTTGGCCTCCCAAAGTGCTGGGATTACAGGCATGAGCTACCGTGCCTGGCTGAACTTGCAAGAAAAATATGTGCATCAGTTTTCAAAAAATTATATCAAAAGATAGCTGTGCCCTACATTTGGAAAGATACAAAAACCTAACATACCGGCAGGCAGTTTTGCTTGCTGGTGCTTGAGATAGAGCCACACATTGGTCTCAGTGGATTTATGGAGAAAAATAGATACAGAATATTGTTTCTAATTAAGACCAAAAAATCCTTTTCTTAAGCAGTGACAGGTAAAGAGGTTGTCTTGGCTAACCTTGAATTGTGTTGCCCTTGATTGAGACAGTTTTATGGTGGGGTTGGTAGTGGTGATAAACTTGTTTGAAATTTGTCTGCTTATAGTAAGCTTTGTGGTAGCTGTCACAGAGAACTTCATCCTCACAGGCCCTAAAATTACTATAAAACTAATAGAATGGAGGAGAAACAAAGGACCTGAATAATTAGATGCTTAGATAATTGTTCTGTGTTTTCATAACCGGTGAAAAAGAGCAGTGTTAGAAGTACTTAAACATTCCATGTAGGGAACACTGCCTGAATTTATATTGTGATTTTTGAGCATCATTCACTGTTTAAAAACAGGCATATTGTGGGTCGTATTTTAAAGACAAATAGAAAACTTATCTTTTCAAGATGGATCTAAAGCTTAACCTTATCAAAATTACAAAATGTAAAGGATATGATTGAAAAATATTAATGCATAGGTTTAAATATTGGTCATCATTTTAGATTTCTTTCAAAATAGGTTGTCTCTTAAATATTAAACTGAACAAACATTGAACATGTTGTAGAGTTTGTGCTCAAGGTTAAGTTTCCTGGGGTGATGGATATTTTATAATATGGGTAACAAAAAGTTCTTATTTTAAGAAATTTAGAAAATTTTTAGGCAAAACTAGAAAGTAATACCAATAATTCTACCACTCAGAATGTACCACTATCAGAATTTTGTATCTTTCAGTCATCTGCTCATCTCTTTTCTCCTTTGCTTGTATGTGTTCCCTCTCCCTTAAAAAATCAGATTTTTTTTTGTAATCTGCATGTTCACTCAACAATATTGTAGATTTGTGTCATAAGTTACTCCTCTACAGTGCCTTCAGTTATTGTGTGCTTTGTGTTGGATGACTGTACCATCTAGTCTTTCATGTTTCCTGGTACTGACTACATAGGGGTGAGAGAGAGAGAGAGAGAGAGAGAGAGAGTGTGTGTGTGTGTGTGTGTGTGTGTGTGTGTGTATTTTTTTTCTACCTTAACTAATGCTTTGGACATCAACAGGTAGAGCTAAATCCTTGAAACCTTCCAAGTGGTGGCTTTCAGTTATTGCTGCATTGGTTTCTAGAGATGGAACAAATTATATTGTATGGAAACTTTTTTTTTTTTGAGACAAAGTCTCACCTTGTCACCCAGGCTGGAGGGCAATGGCATGATCTTGGCTCACTACAACCTCCACCTCCCAGGTTCAAGTGATTCTCTTGCCTCAGCCTCCTGAGTAGTTGGGATTACAGGTGCCTGCCACCATGCCTGGCTAATTTTTGTGTTTTTACTAGAGATGGGGTTTCATTATGTTGGCCAGGCTTGTCTCGAACTCCTGACCTCAGCTGATCCACTCACCTTGGCCTCCCAAAGTACTGGGATTATTGGCATGAGCCACCACACCCAGCCTTTTTTTCTTCTAGGTACCAGCTTTTATTTATCAGATTGGTAAAAATGTTAGAAAGTATGCAATGAAATGGGCATTCTCACAGTCGTGGCAGAAAGTATAATTATCTTGACTTTCTAGAAAGCATTTTGGCTTTCTAGAAACTTGCCTAACCTCTTCCCATTTAGGCAAGATGGATTCTGACTACCCCTAGGTGGCCAACCTTGTCCCTGTGATTCCATCTCTCCCAAAAGGAGAGGTCTAGTCTCAGTGAAAACCCAGGTTTTCTTGGCTTAGCCCACCTGACAGCTAATCACTGGAAATGGGGTGGGCCAGTAGAGTCCTTTGGTTAGGTTTTGTGTCAAGAGAGGGATGTGGAAAGACGGGAGAGAGTTAGCAAAACTGGCCTCAATGGAACTATGTAAGTTAACATAGAATGGTAAAGGAATGTTTCTTCCAAGGAAGAAATTCTAGGGAAGGAAGAAAGTGGAGGGGAAGGCAGCAGTTCTCAAAGTTTTGGGGTCAGGATTCTTTTACACTCTTAAAAGTATATTGAGGGCCCAAGGAGCTTTTGTGTATGTAGGTTATATCTATTGGTATTTATCACTAGAAATTAAATCAGAAATACTTAAAATATTCTTTAAAAGCTCACCAAATATTGTTATAAATGCTTTTATGAAAAGAAAATTTCTAAACTCAAAGTAGTACAATCTTACATCTTTTGCAAATTTCTTTGATGTTTGATATGTCATTTGTACCTGCATTCAATTTATTGAGTGATATTTGCTTGAGAAAATGTGAACAAAGGCTAATCTCATACAGATAGGCATTTTAGATCATTGTGGATACTTCTTTTTCTTTTTCTTTTTTTTGAGATGGGGTCTTTCTCTGTCTCCCAGGCTGGAATGCAGTGCTATGATCACGGCTCACTGGACCCTCAGTATCTGGGGACTCAGGTGCTCCTCCCACCTCAGCCTCCAGAGTAGCTGGGACTACAGGTGTATACTACCCCACCTAGCTCATTGTTTGTATTTTTTGTAGAGACAGGGTTTTGCCATGTTGCCTTGGCTTCTTTTTTGATACTCCATCAAAACTTGATTTTTCTTGAACTTTGGATCTTTTACCCTTGCATGATATTATAACATCATGCATTGTTCAGTTCAAAAATAATGGTTCACTGAGATCTTCTATATATTGATATGTTTGATTATATGATATCAAAATACACTCATCAATATCACCATCAATCTCATCAGAATACTTCTGGAAAGTGATGGTGGATATAAGTTTTCTAAAATTCTAATTTTTTTGTTCAAAAGCTTGAGTTTTAGTATTAGCAATTTTATTGTTGAATTTTATTATGGCCTGTCTGTTGTTTTCCTTGAAATAACAGAATCTCCTTTTTTTTGAGAAAATGTCTCCCAAAACCCAAGCTGAAATAAAATTTTTTCAGTCATCATTTGAAGTAAAAATGATATTCCATTAAAGTGGTTAATTCACTTCATAACTTAGTCACATGAGGGTTTTTTCTCAGGCAGTCTGTAGGAATGCTCATGTATACTTCCCATTTCATCACTTGAAATATTAAAAAGATATATTCAAGGATTAAGATGTAAAATTTTCACTGCTTCATCATAGACATTCTTTTTATTTTTGAGACAGGGCCTTGTTCTGTCACCCAGGCTGGAGTGCAGTAGCATGATCACAGCTCACTGTAGCCTCAACTTTCTGGGCTCAATCAATCCTCCTGCCTCAGCCTGCCAAGTAGCTGGGACTACAAGCATGCAACCACCATGTCCGGCTAAGTTTTATATTTTTAGTAGAGACGGGATTTCACCGTGTTGGCCAGGCTGCTCTCAAACTCTTGACCTCAGGTGATCTGCCCACCTTGGCCTTCCAAAGTGCTGGGATTACAGGCATGAGACACCATGCCCGGCCCTCCCTTCCTTTTTACACCTTTAAACCTTTCCCGTGCACAGTAGTCATACCATGACTACTAGTAGTTTGGTGTTACTGCCTTTATTTATGCTAAAGTACCAGCATTTTTACCCACCATTGTATCTGCACCCTTACAGCAAATGTCACCATGTTAGTATTCCTGTCAAAATAGTTTGGACCTGGGGGTCTGAGGGCCAGACTTTGTGAACCATTGAAATAGGTACTTAAACCTACTATATATCATATCTTTTCATCTACAAGATTTTTAAAAACTTGATTTCAGTTAATGTTTTTGTAATTTTTAAAATTTGGTTTTGAGGGGTTTCACTCCAGAGCAACAACATGTATTTTATTTTGCTTATGCTGAAGTTTAGTAGACAGATACTAACCTAATAGAATGAGGTCCTAAATCTAGTTGCAGTTTCTTTAGCCAAAACAAACAAACAAACAAACAAAAACCCCCAAAACTAAAAATGTGAAAATGGTCCATATGTTGTATTCCCAATGTATGCTGAAGAATTTGGAGATGAAAATGCAATAGTCAGTAAGTGGTATTCTTTAAGAATAGGATTGTCACAGGCATGGAGGCTCACACCTGTAATCCCAGCACTTTGGGAGGCCGAGGTGGGCGGATCACGAGATCAGGAGATCGAGACCACCCTGGCTAACATGGTGAAACCTCATCTCTACTAAAAATACAAAAACTTAGCCAGGCATGGTGGTGGGTGCCTAAAGTCCCATCTACTCCAGAGGCTGATGCAGGAGAATGGCGTGAACCCGGGAGGCGGAGCTTGCAGTGAGCTGAGATCGCACTACTGCATCCAGCCTCTGGGTGACAGAGCAAGACTCCGTTTCAAAAAAAAAAAAAAAAAAGAATAGGATTAACTCTGAAGAGTTTCTTTTAGACTGTAAAGAGATTTGGGACACTATAAGAGAGGAATGAGAAGAATGAGAATAGTAAAATCATTATTGAATAGATATACTGTTAATGATATGCTCCTTCAATACAACTTGTTTTTCTTTTCTTTCTTTCTTTTTTTTTTTTTTTTTTTGAGATGGAGTCTTGCTCTGTCACCAGGCTGGAGTGCAGTGGCGCTTCTCAGCTCACTGAAACCTGGGTTCAAGCTCTTACCCTGCCTCAGCCTCCTGAGTAGTTGGAACTACTGGCACATGCCACCACACCTGGCTAATTGTTATTATTTGAGTAGAGACGGGGTTTCACCATGTTGGCTGGGATGTCTCGATCTCCTGACCTCGTGATCTGCCCACCTCGGCCTCCCAAAGTGCCGGGATTACAGGTGTGAGCCACCGCACCCGGCCAACTTGGTTTTCTTAAAAGAACCTTTGGTAAATATTTGGTTTCTGTGGCTTCAGCTATCATTCAGATTACAGTTTTTAAAGCAATATTTCCTAAAGTAGTTTGTGCGAAATGGTTTTGCATGACTTGAACCTAGTTCTTCTGAAGCTAATATATAATAATAATGACTTTTCCCCAATTTATAATGGAAAATCCTAGAACAGAGTAAATGTCTATTAGTGGGTGAAAGCACATAATGCTTACTTCATTAGCTTTTAAAAAAAATCACATGTAATTGTGTTCTGAAAATACATGTATAGTAATGGCATTTTTGGTATTACTTGGTTTGTGTGATAGAATAAAATATTAGAATTTTATGCTGTTTGAATTAGTTATCTATTGCTCTGTAACAAATTTAGCAGCTTAAAACAACAAACATTATCTCACAGTTTCTGTGGGTCAGAATTCTGTGCAGTTTATCTTGGGTTCACTGGCTTGGTCTCTCACCAGGCAGTGAAGGTGTTGATGGCGGCTGTGATCATCCCAAGGCAGGATAGGGAGAGAATCTGTCTCCAAGCTCACACTGGCAGGATTCACCTCAGAGGCTGCTGGACTGGGCCTCCGTTTCTAGATGGCTATTGGTCAGAGGCCTTTTACAATACCTTGCCATGTGGGCCTCTCCATAGGGCACCTCATCACATGGCAACTGGCTTCCATCAGAGGGAGCAATGGAAAGAGCAGGAGAAGGGTGACCAAAGCAGGCATCGTAGTCTCCTTGTAGCCTCATCTCAGAAGTGATGTTATTACTTTTGCTGTATTCTCTTTGTTAGAAGTGAGTCACTAGGTCCAGGGGTGGAATTTTACAAGGGTGTGAATGGCAGGAGGTGAGGGTGATCAGGGCCATTTAGAGGCTGCCTACCAGTGTTGAAGAAAATTGTTGACTTCTATGAGCTGTAGCAGCAGACAGTGCTATGCAAGGAGAATGGCTGTTTCAGAAGTCCAGCTCCTCACATGAATTTAATGTGTTGCCTTTTCCCCCATACATTTTGTTTAAATCCATGGTCATCTTGCCATTTAGTGGTGTGGTTTAATTGCATATTTGGGTTAGTCTGTATGTAATGTTTAACATAGGTGTCTCTGTGTTAAACAGGAATCCTCTTCATTTTCTTTACCAATATGGTTTGTGGACTATGATGAGCCAAATCTGACATCAGTTCTGGAATGTCTAGAAGATGCTAAGAAAAACAATTCAGTGAGGAAAGAAGCCAAGCTATTTTCTCTTTTCCTCATGAACATTATATTTAGAAATTAAATATTAAGATATGATAAAAACAAAAGCATGATTAATGACTATAATATTAGAGGAATTAAAGTCTGGGTATTTTAAGTCCTTCCAATCTTACTTACTACCTGGATTCTCTTTATTATTTCCCACATGTATAACCTTAGTTTAGATTAGGAATTCAGGATCTCTTTTTCCCTGAATTCTAACCATTAAGCCAAGCAAGCATTTTGGGTAGTGACCACTAGCCAAGGTGGGAAGTAGAAAAAAGACCAAGGTGGAAGTGAAAGGAGAGAAGGGGAGAATGACACCAGAACTAGTGGGAGGGGATTGCCTTTTCTTTCAAGGGTCTGTAAGTCTGCAGTAAAAGTCAAAGGTATTCAAATAGGAAGTTTTGTTCTTGTTTTAGTATATAAAGAAGTACAACTTTCCATGTTGGAAAAATTTTAAAAACCTTTTTTAAATTATAAAACTCATAAGCAACCATTGTTGAGAAAATTAGTAAAGTACAGAAAAGAGAAAAGAAAAAAATTAAAGTCTCCCATAATTTATCTACCTAATATAACCACTATTGACAGTTGACATGATGGCCATTTTCTGCCAGTATATATTTTTTCTTTGCTAGTAAAATACATAACCCTTATACATATGTTTAAATAGTTGAGGTCATATTCTCTATAGTTTTATATTCTTTTTCTTTTTTTTTTGTGACAGAGTCTCACTCTGTCACCCAGGCTGGAGTGCAGTGGCATGATCTCAGCTCACTGCAAGCTCTACCTCCTGGGTTCCCACCATTCTCCTGCCTCAGCCTCCCCAGTAGCTGGGACTACAGGTGCCCACCACCATGCCCGGCTAATTTTTTGTATTTTTTAGTAGAGATGGGGTTTCACCATGTTAGCCAGGATGGTCTCGATCTCCTGACCTCGTGATCTGCCCACCTTGGCCTCCCAAAATGCTGGGATTACAGGCATGAGCCACTGTGCCCAGCCATTTTATATTCTTTTAAAAAGTATTTACTGTATTTTCCCAGGATGTCATAGTCTTTATAGAAAAATAACAATCATTATTTTCAGTTGACATGATTGTTTACCTAAAAATATCCAAAGGAACCAACTGAAAAAAAAATTTTAAGATTACTGGTTAAAAGTTCTTTTATATAAAAATCAATAGCCTTCCCCAATGTTAGCTATAATCACATAGAAGATATAGTGATGAAGTATTTTTTCAGGTATTTCAGCAAAAATTAAATACCTAGGAATAAACTTAGATGTGCAGGGCTTTTATCAAGGACAGGACAAAATTTTGCTGAGTGGAATGAAAGATTTGCATTCTATGTTCCTGGATGAGCAGATTTCATGTTATAAATATGTTAGTTATCACCATGTCTTCATATTAATTTATAAATGTAATTTCTGCTGGGCACAGTGGCTCATACCTGTAATCCAAACAGTTTGGGAAGCTGAGGCGGGTAGATGACAATTAGCTGGGTGTCTGTGGCACACACTTGTAGTTCCAACTACTCATTAGGCTGAGGAGGGAGGATCACTTGAGCCTGGGAGGCAGAGGTTGCAGTGAGCCGAGATCATGCCTGTGAACTCCAGCCTAGGTGACAGAGTGAGACCCTGTCTCAAAAAAAAAGAAAAAAGAAAAAAAAGTGTGTGTATATATACACATTTTGTATTTTATATATATAAATTGTGTATGTATGTGTATATATACAAATTTCAGTAGAAATTCCAGCAGATTTATTTTTGGCACTTGACAAAATGACTCTAAAATTTGTTTAGAAGAGTAAATAATAAAAAATAATAAAGTATAAACTCTTTCAACCAGATATTAAATAAAATATTGTGGACTAGCCCTGGGCCAGACAGATAAAGGTAATGGAAGTTTAAAACCAGAGTCATGCAAATGAGAATTTAGTATAAGGAAAAGGTGGTGTTTTAACTTACTAGTGAAAAGATAGATTATTCTATAAATAGTTTTAGGAGAACTGGCCATTTGAGGAAGTTTGAGTCTTAACTTCAATTTTTGTCAAAATAAGTTGTAGTAGGTTAAAACACATCTATTCTTAAAAATTAGAACGGAACAACATTGGTTTGAAGATGTTTTAAGAGTTAAGGCTGAGGCTGGGCACAGTGGTTCACACCTGTAATCCCAGCACTTTCAAGGCCAAGGTGAGAAGATTGCTTGAGCTCAGGAGTTTGAGATCAGCCTGGGCAACATAACAAGACTCTCTCTCTCTCTCTTTCTAGACATAGATATACATATAAACACACATACACATACAAAATAGAGTTAAGTTTTGTATGGAGAGCCATGAAGATAAGAGGTAAAAATTAAAGGCTTGATGGACACATGTTTACATCTCCAGCAAGGGGGTTGATAGAAAGAATGATAGACATAGCTCCATTACTGCTACCTCCTTTTAGGAAGCTGCTTCTGAATATCTAAAGATAACAGTTTTATAATAGCAGAAATGAGGTTTTTTTCAGTGTCTAAAATATTACATAACATACATACAACATAAACATGTTCAAAACTTAAATGAAGTAGGATATAAATTTGGGCCTAGTGTTTAAAAAAGTAAATGTATTTACATGAAGGAGAAAACAACTCACCTCCCACTCTTAGAGCCTCTGCCAGTTTATCATAACCTAGTTTCTTGAGAGAATAAGCTACATGTCTTCACCTTTTTTCACTGAGCTCATTATACTCTGGATTCTGCCTTCATCGTTGCGCTAAAATTTATCTCCTAGTTGCCAAATCCAGTGGCTCCCCTCTTAGTCCCCAAATTGACCCCTCTGCAGTATTTTGTTAATGTTGATTGTTCCCTTGTTGAAACATTCCTCCGTTCTTAATGTCCACCAATAAAGAGTTGGTTAAATAAAAATTATAGTGTACAGTTTTATAATAGAATATTCTGTTGTAGACCAAAAAAAATGCAGCCAGTCTTTCCATAAGAGCATGTGCAAACTTCTAAGATATATTAAGTAAAAAAGTAAGGCATAAAATATTATATATAATCTGACCCCTTTAGTATACAGTGTAAAAACATCTATGTCTGTGCTAGTTTATACTTGCTTTTTTCTCCCCTGTTGGATACAGGGAACTGTGAATAGTAGAACACAATTAAAAAAGACTGTGTGGCTTCTGTGCCAGGACCTGTGATAATTGGGTATAAAAGACAAAAAAGGTATTTCCCTATCCTCTGGGAAGGGACGTGATAATCAACTGGGACTTTTATCAGATTATTTTCTCCTGTTTTGATCTTATCACCCTGCCTTGGTCTCCTCCGAGCTCTTCTTCCTTGGCCTACTTCTTTCTTCTCTTCTCATTCTGTGCTTTCTCTGAGTAGTCTTTGACTCCCATTACTTAAGTCATGACCTGTGTTCCAGGGATTCCTAAATCTGTATTCATCTCCAGAGTTTCATACCCATATTTCTGTCTGTATATCATATATGTTAGGGAATCTCACTTGGCATGACGTGGGTGTTCAAGATGATATTTAAATTTTCATGTATCCACCTCCTAGCACCCTATCAGCCCCATCATGTGTTCCATCAATAATTCTCCTTGTCATTGTGAGTGGGACAAAATGAAATAATCAAAGTAGTCACCCATGCCTAAACCTGGGAACTGTCTTAGCGTTCTTTTATATGCTACTGTTCTCTTATCCCCCCAAACTAGTAAATTTCTAAGACCTGTCCTTCTGAATGTTCTTACTATTTTCCCTGTGATCTCAGTTTCTTCTTCCCATCCCTCAAATGCTTTTTGTGTGTGTGCGTGGTGGCGAAGAGAGTAAAATTGAAATTCATGGAAAATGTACTACCCTGTCTTTCTTTCTTTCTTTCTCTCTTTCTCTCTCTCTCTCTCTCTCTCTTCTTTCTTTCTTTTCTTGCAATGAAGTCTCGCCTCGCTCTGGTCACCCAGGCTGGAGTACAATGGCACAATCTTGGCTCACTGCAACCTCCACCTCCTGGGTTCAAGTGATTCTCGTGCCTCAACCTCCTGAGTAGCTGGGATTACAGGCATCTGCCACCATGCCCAGCTAATTTTTGTATTTTTAGTAGAGATGAGGTTTCATCATGTTGGCCAGGCTGGTCTCAAACTCCTGACCTCAGGTCATCCACCCACCTCGGCCTCCCAAATTGCTGGGATTACAGGTGTGAGCCACTGTGCCTGGCCACTACCCTGTCTTTCTTGTTGCTTGGTATGACTCACTAACCTGCTGCCTCTCTCCCACTGCAGTGGGATAATTTAGGAATCCGAGAGACTGAGGGGTTGAGGAGGATATATATTATTATTTAGGTGCACCGGCCCAGTCAAATTAACATCTAAAGGACTGAGCCCTGAACAAAGAGTCAGGTTACCTTTTAAGCATTTTGTGGGTTCGGGGGAGATCTGTGCAAGGGGAAGCATATTACAGAAGCAAGAAACAAAGACAGTTATTCAGTTGAGACATGCATTACATTATTTCTTACTTTTCAAGGAAAAACATGTTTTACAACTTGAGTTTATCTGTCTAGTGACCTTGCAGCTGCACAGCTAGAGAAACAGGGTCTTCACAATGCCTGGGAGAGGAGGAGAGATGAGGTTCACTAGCCTCAGAAAAACAGGCAGTTAATTTTTAAAGGACTCCACCTCTTTTTCTTTCTTAGGGGGAATTCGGTTTTTTTTTTTTTAACAAACAGTGTTTGCTTACACATTCTTTTTTATTATTATTTTTATACTTTAAGTTCTGGGATACATGTGCATAATGTGGAGGTTTTTTACATATGTATACATGTGCCATGTTGGTATGCTGTACCCATTAACTCATCATTTACATTAGGTATACCTCTCCCCTCCCCCCACCCCACAACAGGCCCCAGTGCGTGATGTTCCCCATCCTGTGTCCAAGTGTTTTCATTGTTCAATTCCCACCTATGAGTGAGAACATGTGGTGTTTGGTTTTCTGTCCTTGCGATAGTTTGCTGAGAATGATGGTTTCCAGCTTCATCCATGTCCCTACAAAGGACATGAACTCATCCTTTTTTATGGCTGCATAGTATTCCATGGTGTGTATGTGCCACATTTTCTTAATCCAGTCTATCATTGATGGACATTTGGGTTGGTTCCAAGTCTTTGCTATTGTGAATAGTGCCGCACTAAACATATGTGTGCATGTGTCTTTATAGCAGCATGATTTATAATCCTTTGGGTATATACCCAGTAATGGGATGGCTGGGTCAAATGGTATTTCTAGTTCTAGATCCTTGAGGAATTGCCACACTGTCTTCCACAATGGTTGAACTAGTTTACAGTTCCACCAACAGTGTAAAAGTGTTCCTATTTCTCCACATCCTCTCCAGCGCCTGTTGTTTCCTGACTTTTTAATGGTTGCCATTCTAACTGGTGTGAGATGGTATCTCATTGTGGTTTTGATTTGCATTGCTCTGATGGCCAATGATGATGGGTGTTTTTTCATGTGTCTGTTGGCTGCATAAATGTTTTCTTTTGAGAAGTCTCTGTTGATGGGGTTGTTTGATTTTTTTCTTGTAAATTTGTTTAAGTTCTTTGTAGATTCTGGATATTAGTCCTTTGTCAGAGGGGAAGATTGCAAAAATTTTCTCCCATTCTGTAGGTTGCCTGTTCACTCTGATGGTAGTTTCACATTCTTTAATTTCTTTTAATTCCTGTTTCACCCCAGCACTCCTGTAGCCCCTTCTGTGCCAGAGGTCAGAGTGTGCAGGTCTGTGTCCAGATCACCCTGCCTCATCTTCATTATATACTTAGCACAAAACAGAGCACATTGCGTGCATAATGAATCCACACTGGGGCTTGGCTTCCTTTTAAGCATGAGGATTTTTGGTGTATCCTAATTTACGGTTCAACCTTCCTGTTTCCACTTGCTTCATTGTTCACTTTGGGAAGGCTTATTCTTTGCTTTGTTAACCCATTCTAATCCTGTGTCTTCTTACTTTGTCATTTGTAAACCTGCTTCTTTCTCTTCATCTCTTTTCTTGGTCAGAGACACCCAGAAAATTGTTCCTGACCAAGTGAAGTGAGTGCTTATTAGATCCCATATGAGTCACCTTATACATTAAAAAACATTTTAAACAATGAAAACCACACTTGTGCACATAGTTTACCTTGCTTATTTCCTTAAAGTAAACAATCTTACAATACAATTTGGACTTAAACATGGAAACTTACAGTTATTTTTTGCAGTTTCCTAGTGAATGATTATTTTTTAGACAGACACTTAAGAGCCTACTAAGTATCAAGTGTTTTACAGGTTTCATTTAATCTTTACTATTCCGGGGAAGTTTTCATTTCCTTGTTTTACAGATGAGTACACTGAAACTCAAGGAATTAGATATGATATCCAAGGTCATCTAGATTTCCAGGCTCTGTCTGCTGGATCACATTTGCTTTTGTACTTTTAACTATGACTGGAATATATAATTTTATAATCCATGTGTAACAATACTGCCTGTGTGTGGTTTTTTTTCTTTTTCCTTTTTGGGTCACCTCATTAATGCAGTAATGTTCTCTTGTTTGAAGTTGTAAGTTTCTAAGAAAACAAGGTAGCAATGAGAAATTGGACAATGTCTGGAACTTCCTTCCTCTGCCTTTATTGTTGTCATTCCATTAGGTATCAGTTGTAGTGATTATACACCAAGCCATAGTAACTTTCTTAAACTAGAGGCTCCTGAAAATATTTCAAAGAGTTTTTTAAAATATCTGTAAGCTGCAGTTGAGCAGTAACAAACTTTTTTATTTCCTACTGGATTGATTGCAGTAGTCATACCATTATTGATGTCTTCTCAGTGCTCTTTAACATAATGCTTATTTACTGAAATGTGTTTTGTAGCTTCATCAGCAATGGAAGTGGCTGATATGTGGACTCTGCAGATTATATAACCTTCCTAAGCACCCGAATGTTGAGATGCCAGATCAACCACTACCCATGGGTCAGGTAAAGTAAAAATTCTGTAGTGTTCAAGAGCTAAAATAAATTGTCTCAAACAAAAGTCAAACTAGGATGATTTTTTAAAAATTATTCAACTTATTTAGAAGTTAGTTTTTCTGTTCCTATTGAATTGTTTGTTCTGTTTTAGATACTAAAAATAACATTTTCATTCTTTGGAACTGCTGGTATTTAGTATGGCAGGCAAACAATTGCCCTTTTCCCTAACACCAGCTTTTTGTTGTGAATATTCCTGGGGTCCATAAATGTTCTTGCTTCTTTCATTGTTTGTCTTTGCTTATTGACTTGCCTTCACCTAGAAATGCCATCTCCTTAAATCTGTCTATGCTTCTTAAGGACTCACCCAAATATTATCTCCTACAAGCAACAGAAATCTCCACTAGCTCACCACTACCCCTAACTTCTTCCTGGATTTACCTATTTAGGCATCAGCTATTGACTTTTTAGTATAATACATGAGAATTTAGCTCTTATACCACCCACTTTGCCTTCCTCAGATATTATCTTTAGTGATATAAGTAATCACTAATTATCATTAGGACTTCGAGAAGCCAAATTTTCTAGAATATTTAGGATAGAATATTTCTTTTCTTGGTGCTGCTTTTTGTTTTGCAATGTCTTCTCATAACAGTAATTTTTAATTTAAAAAATTCTGTTGTAGCCCTTTCTGTGAGATCTCCTTCTCTTCCAAAGCCTTTGGCTCCTGTGTGCCCATTTTGGCAGGTTGTTCTTCGGGTTGGCTGTGCACATGTCATCTTGAGGTTTTTCTCATCTGCTCTCCTAGAGTACATCCATTGTTTCCTGGATCCCATGTCATCTTTCTTGGCTTTCCCTTTGTCATTTTACCTGACTATGTCCTCAAGTAAAACCCTAAGAAAGCATGGAGTGGTATATTTTCTGATCTCTGGCTTCTGAAAAAATACAATGCAGTGTTTGGGTTTTGGAGCCAGTCTGAGATAGGTTTGAATCTTGGTTCTATTACTTCTTAGCTGTATGCCCTTGGGCTGATTCCATAATTGCTCTATGCATCAATTTCCATTTGCAAAATGGGGGAACCGGTAATAGTATTAGTACCTATGTTTCTAGGGAGCTATGAGGATTAAATGAGTTGGTACATGTAAACCATTTAGAACAGTGCCTGGTACTTAGCCCATCTCCATCACTATTCACTTTTGTCATAGTCTACCCTCACACTTGATTGATAGTTTGGTTGATTATGTACTTCTAGGTTGAGGATAATTTTACCTTAGAATTTCAAAGTCTGTGCTGTTGTCTTCTAACCAGTCATGGTGGTGAAGCCTCATGTCACCCTGAGTTTCACTCATTTATGCATGACTTTCTCTCTGGAAGCTTTTAGGAGTTTGTCTTTCCCTTGGTGAGCTGAAATAGCACAACATTGTACTTAGTGTGTGTCTTTTTTCATTCACTGTGCTGGGCACACTGAATCGATAGGCCTATGGATAGGCTCTTTCAATGTTGGAATCTTGAATCTTGTCATATTTTTGTTAACTTTCTCCTTTCCATTTTATTTGTTCATTTTGAAGTGTCTGTTAATTGGATTTTAGTCCTCTTGTTTGAGTCTTGTATCTCAGGTCGTTTCTAATTTTTTTTAATTTTAAGTTCTGGAATATTTTTCTTATTTTTTGACTTTTAGGAAATTTTATTTGGACAGTCTTAACTTTAAGTTTTGTTTTGGTTATTTATTGTTGCTTAACCAATTTTCCCAAAACTTAATGGCATAAAACTACACATTTGCCTATCTGTCACTACTGTATCAGTTAACTGGGGATAGCTGGACAGTTTTTCTGCTGGTCTCATTTGGCATCTCTCACTGTGTGGTTAGATGGTGTCAGGGACTGGTCATTTGGATTCTCAGCTGCAGTGGAATGTCTGAGACGGCTACTTCACCCACAGGTCTGCTGCCTTGGTGTTTCTTCATGTGGCCTTCCTCTCTGCATAGCATCTCATCCTTTCAGGCCTCTTCAAGTGGTTTCTCTTTCTCCAAGAGGATAGTTGGTACTTATTTTGGCTACTAGAAGCACAGAAGTGGAGCTGCCAGTGTTCTTAAGGCTTAGACCTGGAACAGGTCCAGTGTCATTTCTACCAAATTCTATAGGTTAAAGTGAGTCTTGAGGCCAACCCAGATTCACTGTGGGATGGGCCTGTCCAAGAACATGATAACAGGAGGTATGGCTCATTGGGGACCAACTCCCAAGATGAACCCTGAGTTCTAAGAACTTTTTCTTCTCTGATTATTCCTTATTCATATTCTATTTTTGTTTTATTCTTGTAATATATTCACAAGTGTCTTTATGAAGTGATTTTGATACTCTTTTGTCTTCACCCTAGCATCTCTTTGTTCTTTAATAAATTTTTTTCTTAGTTCATTTTGGTCTTATTTTTCTTCTTAAAACCTTTCCTTAAGTATCTATTCTATGTTGCTTATCATTTGTAGTCTTTTTTGAGACGGAGTTTCACACTTGTTGCCCAGGATAGAGTGCAATGGTGTGATCTTGGCTCACCACAACCTTTGCCTCCTGGGGTCAAGCGATTCTCCTGCCTCAGCCTCCTGAGTAGCTGGGATTACAGGCATGTGCCACCATGCCTGGCTAATTTTTGTATTTTTAGTAGAGAAGGGGTTTCTCCATGTTGGTCAGGCTGGTTTCGAATTCCTGACCTCATGTGATCTGTCCACCTTGGCCTCCCAAAGTGCTGGGATTAAAGACGTGAGCCACTGTGCCTGGCATGTACTCTTTGTTTTTTAATTCTCTTTTTTGTTCATTCATATTTGAGAGAGGTACTAAAAGACTGGGAGGCTGGGAGTGGTGGCTCATACCTACAATCTCAGTGCTTTGGGAGACTGACATGAGAGGATCACTTGAGCCCAGGAGCTCAAGACTAGTTTGGGCAATATTGTGAGACCCCATCTTTAAAAAAATAAATTAAAAAAAATAGCCAGGTGTGGTGACCTGTAGTCCCAACTACTTGGGAGGCTGAGGCAGGAGGATCGCTTGAGCCCAGGATGTTGAGGCTAAAGTGAGTTGTGATCATGCTGCTGCATTCCTGCATTCCAGCCTGGGTGAAAGAGCAAGATCCTTTCTCAAATAAATAAATAAATAAATAAATAAATAAATAAATAAATTAAATTAAATAAAAATTAAAAATAAAAAATTGATTGGGAGTTCTTCATGGCCAAGACTTGGCAACTGATAGCTTTTAGGGGGGAACATATGCTGATTCCTAATTGTCATCCTCTACCCCTCTATCTTATCTCCCGGTGCAATCATAAATGATGGCTGGAACTACTCCATTTCTCTGGAGGTGAAATCTACATTCTCTTGTCTGAGGTAGATATGTTTGCTTGGATTCTGCTTAAGGAGATGGAGGAGAGCAGTGTGTTTCAGGGCCTGGAAAATGTTCTCTATATAGGCTTTTGATTGATGTCTGTTTTCAGTCTTGCCTATCAGTCGACTCTCGGGGGTACCTGGTGTCTGAGTCTAGAACCTTTCCAGGTTGCTGTGGGACAAATTAGCTTCCTTCTTATTGGTATCCCCCTGACCTCCACTTTTGTTTGCTTGCTCCATTAATTAACCATTTTCCATTTACTGTCATTTTCTAATGGAGGTGAATTCTCTTCTGTGGGTAACCCCATTTCTTTTTTTTGTAATTGTGTGTTTATATAATGTTTATTCTTCACTGTATTTCTAGTGGAGCCTCAGGACAAAGAGCAGATGGTGGAAATATGTGTTCAGTGTTCAGTTTTTTTTCTGTAAGACATCTGCAACTTGTGTTTTTCACTGAATATCACATGGACTTAATGCATATAGAGCTACCTTGTTTTTCATGATTGTGCCTACAATTCTATGGTGAAATATAATTTGTGAATTACCTGATGAGATTTTCCTAATGTTGAATCATCCTTGCATTCCTATAATAAACACTGTTAGAATGGCTATGTTAATATTTTATTTTTGCATTTTTACTTCTGTATAAAATAAGATTATAGTTTTGTTTGTTTCTTTTAAGGCTCTTATTTCATTTCAGTATCAAGGGCATGCAGGGCTAACTTGGGAAGCTTTACATCTTTTTTCTAAGACCTAGGATGTAGATCTAGTTTACACAGTAATTTTCAACTGCAGGAATATTTTGCCTCCCATGGGACATTTGGAAATATCTGGAGACATTTTTGTGGTCACAACTGGTCACGGTCGGGAGGTCTTATTGGCATTCTGTGGGTAGAGGGGATGTTACTAAATGTCCCACAACACACCAGGAGAACCCTCACAAAGAATTGTCTGGCCCAAGATATCAGTATTGCTGAGGCTGACAAACCCTGGTTTAAATAAATGTCCAATTTGGAGGATGAGTCTTTGTCTTTTTCCTTCTTCTGCGTATTGGTCTCCAGATTTTCCGTTTCTTCAGTTAGTTTTCGTAAGTGTAGATTCTTTAAAGAAATGAACACTTCATCCATACTTCTAAGGTGTTGTAAAGATGTGTAAAGTTTTCACTTTTTGCATCATATTCACATGTGGCTATATGCCCTTTTGTCTTCAAAGTTTTCTTTATCTTGATCACTTATCAGAGGCGTGACTGTTTTATTATCTTAGGCTTTTGAAAGAATCCTCCTTTAGTTTTATTTTTTAAATTTAGTGGGTTGTTTTCACATTTTCCTTATGTCTTAATTATTTCCCCTTTTTGTTTATTTTGCTTTTTCTAGTTTAGTGGATCAATGTAATTTAACCTGCTTTTTAAACAAACATGTAAGGGTATACATTTTCTTTGGGTGCTGTTTGACTTCATTGCACAAGTTTTAAAATCTATTTTCTAAATAGTTTGTATTTTCCAAGTCATTTTATTGCATCCTCTGTTCACATTGCTCTTACTATTAAAACTTTTTATTTGCCTGGCATGGTGGCTTATGCCTGTAATCCCAGCACTTTGGGAGGCCAAGGCAGGTGGATGACCTGAGGTTGGGAGTTCGAGACCAGCCTGATCAACATGGAGAGAGCCCGTCTCTACTAAAAGTACAAAAATTAGCTGGGCATGGTGGTGCATGCCTGTAATCCCAGCTACTTGGGAGGCTGAGGCAGGAGAATCGCTTGAACCCAGGAGACAGAGGTTGCAGTGAGCTGAGATCACGCCACTGCACTCCAGCCTGGGCAACAAGAGTGAAATTCCACCTCAAAAAAAAAAAAAAAAAAAAAAAGACATGTATTGAAATTATGTAAAACATAAGCTTAGTGTAACATATAGTTAGAGCGAGTACTTGGGAACTAATACCTAGCCAGCACCAAGGTGAAGAGAAGGCACATTGCTTGCACTACAGAAACCTTCTGCAGGCTGCTTCCTGATCACCATGCCTCTGTACGCTCATCTTGCCTTATGTTTCTCTAGTGTTATCACTCATATATGCATCCTTCAACAATACAGTGTAGTGTTGCCTATTATTTGGGCTTTTGAAAATCATAGTATATGTATTTTTTCATATCTTTGTTGTGCTCAACGTTGTGTGTGAAATTTGTTCCTATTGTGTGTAGCTATAGTTCTTTTGCATTGCTGTATTTACTCCATTGTTTGAATACACCATACCATTTATCCCCTTGACTAGATACAGACATGTGGGTGGTTTCCAGTGTTATTAGGAACAGCGATTGCTGCTATGGTCATTCTTGTCTGTATTTCATGGTACCCTTGTGCCAGCATTTCTCTGGGGCTCATACTTAGGAGTTGGATGACTGAGGCATGAGGATCAATTTCTTCTTTTACCCAAGAGTTATCTAGAACAAAAAAATTTAAAAAGCATTTTCAGGTGGCTTTTGAGGTATTTTTAGTGCATCAATATGGTCAGAGAATATGGCCTGTGACCTTTCAGTGAGATTTTCAGCAATCATTTAGACTTCACTATTGGTGTTACTGTTGCCTTTGCTTATTGCTCTTCTTGTATTATGTCTCCTGCTCCCTGCCCCTCAAGTATATCCCTGAATAATATCCTGGGTTTTTTTTTTCCTAGAAAGGGTTTGTGGGGATGTGTATGGAGTGTGTTCTGTGCACTTGCTGTCTGTTATCATTTGTTCAACAAATATTTGACTCTGTATAAAGTACTCCATCCATATCGGTGTGGAGAATCCAGAGGCAAACATACACAGATATGCTTCCTGTCTTGAGGGAGCTAGATATAGAATTCTGAGATCATAATTGAGTTTCTTTCCAGGTCTTTATACTTTTATGTTCTGATATTGTTGTAGATGAAAAGTCTGATGCCTATCTGATTCTTAGTTCTTTCTGATAGTTAGTATGATTTTCTGTGTAACTGTAAAGTGTGGGGGTTTTACTTTTTTTTTTTTTTTTGAAACAGAGTCTCACTCTGTCACCCAGGCTGGAGTGCAGTGGTGCTATCTTGGATCACTGCAACCTTCACCTCTCAGGTTCAAATGATACTCCTGCCTCAGCCTCCTGAGTAGCTGGGACTACAGGCATGTACCACCATGCCCAGCTAAATTTTGTATTATTAGTAGAGATAGGGTTTCACCATGTTAGCCAGGATGGTCTCGATCTGCTGACCTTGTGATCTGCCTGCCTTGATCTCTCAAAGTGCTGGGATTACAGATGTGAGCCACCTTAATGTTTTGCTGAGTCATGTCCATTGTGTCCTGGCCCTTCTGCAACTGGTGTTTTGTTTTGTTTTCTTTTTTGGTTTAGAGGTCTTATTTTTACCTCCTAGAATTGTCTTTTGCATAGTAATCTGTTTTGTATTTTGTGGATACAGTATCTTCTCAATTACTGCTAAAGATTCCAATTAGGTTTTAAAATTCTGCTTATTTCCTTCATTAGCAGTGCTTCAGGTCATTCGTGCTTCTTTGACTTGGCACCTTCCTTTCAGGTTGCTAATTTTCTTCAACTCTCTGATGATACATGGTTATCTGTTCATTTATAGGTGAGGTATACCTTTGATCAGTATGAGTTGTTATGAGTGTCTTCAGAATTGTCACTCTTTTCTGCTGTGGCCTCCCCCTCCTTGTTGGCAGACCTGTGCTCTTCCTGTGGCATGAGGGTGGGGAGGTGCTGGTTGGTGAGCTTTCCAGATTTTGAGCTTAAAGGAAGAGGCAGAGCCTGTTATAAGATTTTGATGCTGCATTGAGTTACATTGAAAAAGCATTCTGTCTTTTCTCTCTGGTTTTGACACTGATAGTGAGAGACCATCAAGACAGGCTTCCTATTACCAGAGTGATCCTTACCAACTATAGTTGGGACAGTACAGTGAAGAATGTTTGATCCTTCAAACAGAAGTGGCCCCTCCATTATTTGGATTGTGTTTGTGGCTTTCTCGCGCCCAGCAGTCTGATTTCATCTGCTTTGTATCTTCTAGCATGTCCTTATAGTTTTGGTTCACTAAGGGTATTCTTTTTGTATTTGTTGTTTTGCTGCTGCTGCAGCCGACTTACTCTCTTTTATAAAGTTCTGTCATTTCAGTGGGGTTTTAGAAAGAGGACCAGGTCACATCTTGAAATGAAATTAATCTTAGGATTTCACAGCCCTAACTCACTTTTTGTTTTGATTAAATTACTTCCCCTTTTTGATGGGGTAGGGGCTCAGCTATCTCGTGTAAAATTAAGGCTAGTAACTGGGCTAGTGGTGACAGACCCAGATGCATGTGAGAATCACCTCAGAGAGCTTTTGCAAAACAGATTCTTCTGCAAAAATGCTCTTTCAACCACTGATGCAACCAAATTCTTTGGGACTTTGAGGCTAGGTATATATTCTTTAGATACCCAGAATAATTGGCTTTGGAATATAAGAATTTAGGGAAATGAAGAAGGGGTGAATTACATTTTGGAAGCTGCTGCTTAGATACTGCTGAGACCTTTGTTGGTCTTCATTTCTGGATCCTAGTTTCTTGATCTTTTACATATTCTGGGTTCTAACCTGAACTGGCCTTTATGGTTAAAGATGTATTTATATACTGTGTCCTGGCCAGGAAGCTTGCCTTTTGACCTTTGCCCAAACTGGGTACGAAGGCCCCTCCTAAAAATTCATTAGATTAATTTCTGAACTTGATAATTGTAATTTGTGTTAATTGGTAAATTGTGTCTTGTAGAGAGATATTTGATAGTAAATTACATGTTTTTAAAAAGACAATTTGCTTTATAGTGAGGTGGTAATCAATTCATACTCTTAGTTTTGGGAAGTGTCTATTATAAGTAACACATCTGACCTCTTAAAATGTAAGGAAATTGAATTTATGTAATGATTCAGGCTTTTCAAAGTTAAAAATGTAGCTGTTTTGAGGAATTGATAGTTTGGTGTATTTATTTTAAACAAAATAATCCTTTGATCTTATGCACATAGCCGTACAAATAAAATGTTTTCTTATTTTAAATTAGATTATGTTTTAAAATTTTTTTCAGTTTTGCTTTATATTTGACTGATTGCTTTTCTTTATTCCTAAGGCATTCATTAAGTTGAATTGTTCAAAATTGTTTCATTTTTAAAAGCTGAGAACTGTTGTTTGTCAAATCAAAGTTGGATTTAAAAATGCACATTTTAACTTTAATAAGCTCTCTGGTAGTGGGACTGCAGTGACAGATGGTTGGGAGTTTGTCACTAAAGCTATGACACCAGTCTTCTAAGGTGCATATTTGTTCTGTGTAGTTCTGGCAGATTCTTTCTCTATTTCAGAATGGGACAACAGAAGAAGTGACTTCAAAAGAAGAGGAAGAAGAAGAGATGGATGAAGTGGGTATTTTATATAAGAATAACATTTTGGCCAGGTGAGGTGACTCATGCCTGTAACCCCAGCACTATGGGAGGCCATGGCGGGTGGATCACCTGAGGACAGGAGTTTGAGACCAGCCTGGCCAACATGGCGAAACTCTGTCTCTACTAAAAGTACAAAAATTAGCCGGGCATGGTGGTAGGCACATGTAATCTCAGCTACTCAGGAGGCTGAGGCAGGAGAATTGCTTGAATCCGGGAGGTGGAGGTTGCAGTGAGCCAAGGTCGTGCCACTGCACTCCTGCCTGAGTGACGAGCAAGACTCTGTCTCAAAAAATATATATATATATATATCATAAATATCTTCTGTTTTGGACATTTGAGTAATTCTCTAATCTCCTTTATAAAGAACTATTAATATGGAATAATTGAAAGCACATCGTATTTGGAATGGAATGTAATTTATAAATTCTGGCTTTACCTCTAACTCATGATATGCCTTTGAGCAAATTGTTTTATCTGAATTCTTGGATTTTATTTTCTGGAAAACAAAAGCTCTTAAGTTTTAACACTAAAATTATATTTAATACTAATCAGTACTTAACCTGTATTTGGTTATTTTTTGGAAGAGAAACTACTGAGTTTAAAAAATTTTATGTTTGCATAAAAGGAGAATTTCAGAATATTTTAGAGACTACCTGTCAGAAGTAGTGAAACTGTCTCTTGCTGAAAAATCATTCAAAGAAATTTGTCTTAGTCTGTTTTATAGTATTGTGACAGAATAACAGAGAGTGAGTAATTTATGAAGAGCAGTCATTTATTTTCTGACAGTTCTGGAGTCTGGGAAATCCAAGATGAAAATATCAACATTTGGTGTCTCAGGACCTTCTTGTTTTATCCTCACATGGTAGCAGGCAGAAGGGCAGGAGAGCAAGCTGGTCCAATGTGTGAAGCCTCATTCATAAGGGCCTTAATCCCATGAAGGAGAAAGGAGCCCTCTTGGCCTAATCACCTCTTAAAAGTCCTACCTCTTAATATCATCACATTGGCAACAGTTGAATTTTGGAGGGAATACATTCAAACAGTAGCAAATTTAGTAGAGCAAATTCCAAAGACATTGAGCCTAGGCCAGTTGTCAGTCATGGGTATAATTTTAGATGTTTTCTGGCTCTGAAGCCTTGCATTTAAATTTGAACTTCAGAACAAAGATCTATGTCTCTGCATTGACCAAATAGAATGTATGTGAATTCCATGGTATTGATTGTTTTAAAAGATTTTTTTCTGTTTGAGGTCTTATAATTAATTTAGGCTTTCATTTTCTTGGTTTGGAAATTATTAATCTAAAATGTACTTTAGAGTGCTTCAGAACTAAAAAAGTAGTGTTGTAGGCTTGCTTTTGTTTGTTTTTTGAGACAGGGTTTCACTGTCACCCAGGCTGGAGTGCAGTAGCGCCGGCATGGCTCACTGTAACCTTGAACTCCTGGGTTCAAGCGATCCTCCTGAGTAGCTGGGACTACAGGCCGGTGCCCCACGTCCAGCTAATTTTTATTTTATTTTATTTTATTTTATTTTATTTTTATTTTTTATTTTAGCGTTTGAGTCTCACTCTGTTGCCCAGGCTGGTCTTGAACTCCTGACCTCAAGTGATCCACCACCTCAGCCTCCCAAAGTGCTGGGATTACAGGTGTGTGCCACTGTGCCTGGCTGTAGGCTTGTTTTATGAGTCTGGGAGTAAAATACTTCTTAAAATTGTCCAATTAGAATGAAAGTCTGTTTTAATGTTTTTATGCAGTTTAGCTTAGGTGGAATAAACTGCATGAAAACATTAAACCTTTTCCATAGGTCAGGCAGCCATTGTACTAAAGTTCATGAACCCTTTCATTTTCCCTTCACAAGATAAAAAACAAGGGACCGCAACTTTGAGGGAAATCTAGAAAGGTAGGAGACTGGACTTTGGAGTTGTCAGATTAGGACAGGTGAAAAGCAGATATTCTAGGCTCCTAAAATAATGTGGGAACAGGCCCAGAGCAACTTTGGACATGGTGTGTTTGGGTGCACTGGATGCTTTTCTTTTGAGAAGGAAGGTTGATGTGTTGAAGTCATGGAAAGCAAGATTGTCCAGAAAAGACAGATGGACAGAAGTCTTGAATTTGAGACAGGCATGTTTCTATTTGGTGTGTTTGTTGATAAGAAGGCCTTAAGCAGGGAATCGTGTGCTGAGAATATTGTTTTAGAAAGATATGTTGAATTCTGTTTGGGATGTGCTGATTAATACTTAGGTGGAGAAGTTTTGTGGATGGGAACATGACTGAGGTTGAAGGTACAGGTGGAAATACAGGCCAAAGGCATTTGTGAGCATTGTGGGGAAAACAAATGTGGATAGAAGATCAGGGCTGAAAGGTGCACACAGGGAGAAGGGAGCTCCATGAAGTACAGACTCATGGGCAGAGTTTGAGTGAAGGTAGTCGGTAGTCTGGTCTAGAAGTCGGTGAATTAGCTGGCTTGGGAAAAAAAATCGAGATAAATATAAACTACCCCTTTAGAGATTTTGGCAATTGAAGTAGAAATATAAGGTAATTGAAAAAAGTTAGGATTTAAACAATTCTGCATATGTTTGTATATATGTAAGAACAGATAGTATGGGAAGGGAGGGAGCAGAATGATGTGAATAAAGATGTTATTCTGTGGGGTATTATTCAAATTCTTTTGAAATTATTATTAGTTTTTGAGATAGGGTCGCTGTCACCCAGGGTGGAGTGCAGTGGCATGATCATAGCTTACTGCAGCCTCGAACTCCCGGGCCCAAACAATGCTTCTATTTCAGCCTCCTGAGCACCTGACATCAAATTCTTTTTCTAACTTATTTTTAAGTTATTAGCATCAATAGGTGCTTACTACATAAAACCATAAACTTGGAAATTAGGGGAAAGCACCAAATGTCTCCAGAGATAACAACTAAAATTAATTGAAATTAACATTTCAATGTAAGTTGTTCTGGTCTTTTTCTGTGCTTATTTCAGCATAATTTAAATTCTTTCTATTCCTTTGTGTAATCCATTTTTCATTTCAAAGTTTTTCGATACAGGAGAAATTATGCCGTGTTGATATTTCAGTGGCTTCTTAATAGTTCATGGAATTGAGTTAACTGTTTTGCTATTTTTTCACATGCAGATTTTGTGTTTGTTTTTGTGGTTGCAAGGTTGAAATAGGTATCCTTATGCCTAAATTTGTGTTTACCTCTTAGACTAGTTTCTTGTAATACAGTTCTAGAGGTCGAGTGTCTGGAACAAACTATGAACACTTAAGGTTCTTGACACCTGCTGCTAAACTGTTTCAAAGGTTCCTCTTAAGAGGAGATTTAAAAGATGGCTTGGCTGGGCGTGGTGTCTGATGCCAGTAATCCCAGCACTTTGGGAGGCTGAGGTGGGCAGATCACTTGACGTCATAAGTTTGAGACCAGCCTGGCCAACATGTTGAAACCCTGTCTCTATTAAACATACAAAGAAATTAGCTGGGTGTGGCGGTGTACGTCTGTAATCCCAGCTACTCAGGAGACTGAGGCATGAGAATCACTTGAACCTGGGAGGCAGAGGTTGCAGTGAGCAGAGATTGCCCCACTATACTCCTGCCTAAATGACAGACTGAGACTCTATCGTACAAAAAAAAAATAAAATAAATTAAAGAAGTAAATAAATAAATGATGGCTTATTTCATAATAGTTGTGACTTTGTAAAGCTTTTAAATCTGCTTTCCCCAGAGTCTAGCTTTTAAATAAAATACAGGATATAAAAGGTGGGAGCCTCTTGAATGGAATGTGGGGGCTTTTTCTCTCTCCCCATAGGATAGATATATTCTGTTTCCTGTCCCCCACCGAGTCAAGAATAATTTAAGTTTTGGCATAAGAAACTGCTGAAGGAAAGTGGGTTGAATCGGCTAATATTTTTCTTCTTTTTGCAGGATATAGAAGACTTAGATCACTGTGAGATGAAAGAAGAGCCTACTAGTGAGAAGAAGTTGGAGGATGAAGGAACTGAAAAAGAAAACTGGGCAATATTAGAGAAAATTAGGAAGACTGAAAGGCAAGGCCATTTAAATGTGTAAGTGTGTATAAATATCTGTACTTTTTGGTGAAGTAATCATAGTTAATACCAGGAAATTCATGAACATGCTGATCTCAGCTGCTCTCCTCCTCCATTCCTGCCTTAGTGGTGGATTCAGTCATATGTTTATTGGTTTTGAGATAGGGTCTTGCTCTGTCACCTGGGCTAGTGTGCAGTGGCACAATCATAGTTCACTGTAGCCTTTATCTCCCAGGCTCCAGTGGTCCTCCTACCTCAGCCTCCCAAGTGTCTCAGACTATAGTCATGTCCCACCACACCAGGCTAATTTTTTTGATTTTTAGTAGAGATGAGGCCTCACTATGTTGACCATGCTGGTCTTGAACACCTGAGTTCAAGCAGTCCTACTACCTTGGCCTGCCCAAGTGCTGGGATTACAGACATGAGCCACCATGCCTAGCCACACTCATATGCTTTGTTGCCCAAGGTTATCTTTCTCATCCATGAATAGCCACTTTTTACCCTGTTGATCTGCTCTTCACATCCTGGAACCACCTGCTGATCCCTGTATATGCCCCTTTCCAGCTTGTCTATGCTGTGTTCTCTGCTTACCTTCCTTCTGTGGCATCTGTATATTCAAGTTCATTCTCTCCTACAAAACACAACTCAAATTATTTCTCCTTCATGAAGCTGACTTTGATCCATCCTGCTCTGACCAAACCAAAAGTAGGGTTTCTCTTTTGACTTAACATCTCTTTTATGTGAAGCGGCAGGATGGGAAAGGAACACAGAGTTTGGTGACAAACACACCTTTTATGGTTTCACTTTGCGCAACTCTAAAATATGGATAGACAGTACATATCTTTTGGATGGTTGCTATGAAAAATAAATTAAAATGATGCATGTTACACATAAAATGCTTAGACAGAGCAGGGAAACATCAAATGATTGTCTGAACACTTACTGCTTCCTGCCTTGTATTAGAGCTATTTACCAACTCCACAATATCCGAGGACCAGTTACTTTGTCTTGGGCACAGGTTCTCCAAAACAGGGAATGAATTGTTAGGCAAGCAGATGTCAAGTGTTGCAATCAGATAGATAACTCTCCCCCCTTCAATCTTATTTGTATATTAATTTAATTGGTAATTTTTCATACAGCAAAGAAATTTAGTTAATCCCCATATCTTGATTATTTAAAAAACTAAGATTGTAGCATTTGAATTAATGTTACTGTACTTTCTGTGTCTTGTGATCAAGTCCACTTTGAGTTATCTTCAAAACAAGTAAAAATTATTGAATAATTTTGTATGACAGATACTATGCTAAATACTTTATACTTAATACTTTATAGATCTTTTCATTTAGTCATCATAGCCACTGTGTGAAATAGGTGCTGTTTATACTTTAGAGATAGGAAAAACTCATATTTTATAGATATGAAATTAGTTCAGGATTATATAGCTAGGAGGTAATATTTTTATAAACTTGATTTTTTTTCCCCTTCAAAGTCTAGTGCAGTCTTTAAAAGCTTTAGTTTCACATGACCAAAAAGTAGTTCCATTTTTATTTAGTCTTAGGATAAGATATCGATGTGTTTTCATCTTTAGAGAAGTCCCTGCACTGAAAAACTGAAACCAGTTGCATGTAGGCACACATGGTTCTCAGTGTCTTCATGTGTGAACTAGACCATCTGTGTAATATTCTTGCTTGTAGTCTTATGAATGGAAGCCTATTTTACTTAATATTGTGTCACCTTGAGTATTTTCAAATATTGCTGGGGTTTGAAATAGACTCATACTGAATTCTGTGCTATCGTGGAGTCCATGGTGGTATGAACATGTTGGCTAGAGTTTTTTAGGTGATAGGAAAATGGAAATGAACCAGACTTGTGTCTAGTTTTATATTCCCTTGAAACTTCATAATGCTTCATTTAATTGGACTTTTTTCTTTTACTTCTTAAATTGTTGAATGGTGATCCATTTTTGTTGTAATCTTTTTCTTTTCTTTTTTTTTCTTTTGAGATGGAGTCTCGCTCTGTGGCCCAGGCCAGAGTGCAGTGGCACCATCTCAACTCATTACTATCTCCACCTCCCAGGTTCAAGTAATTATCTTGCCTCAGCTTCTCCAGTAGCTGGGACTACAGGCACGTGCAACCATGCCCGGCCAACTTTTGTATTTTTTTAGTGGAGATGGGGTTTCATCCTGATGGCCAGGCTGGTTTCAAACTCTTGGCCTCAAATGATCCGCGCCCCTCAACCTCCCAAAGTGCTGGGATTACAGGTGTGAGCCACCGTGCCTGGCTACTGTAATCTTTTAGAGCAGGTTGAAATACCTTAAATCTTTAAATTAGTTGGCTCAGTAGACCCTGGTAAACAGCAGCTTTTGTGTTTCAGGCTGCAGTGTCTGGGTCAGTGCAAGCTTCAGATAGACTTAAGAAAGAGTTCAGGGACTTATACAGATCACAGAGTTATAAGACAGGTAAGGATCTCCAAATCCCTGCTCTTCTTATCATTCTTTTGTTCTTTTCTGTTGTCAGATTATAAATGTCGTTTCTTAAAACTGGACAGAAATGGAAATGTTTACTAGCTTTATTTTGTGAAACTCAAATGTAATCAAGTTCCAAAAGATGTAGGGAGTAAGATAGGATGAGTTTGCTTGTTTTTTGGAATTAAAGAAATTGTTTTTATAGGTCCATTGGAATTTTATTTTGCCATCTTCCTGATAGAGTGAATATTTGCATGATTTTTATCTTCTGGCAAAAAGCTTGAGCAATATTGCTTGATAATTTAATACAAATAATACATTTCAATATACAGAGAATGATTGCCAAGTTGATTTTGTGATTTTTTCCCCCAGTTTTGAAAGCAACATAATCAACTCTTATTGTGGAGGTAGTTATGTTATTACTTTTAAAATATATAGGTGGAGTACACTTATAGTCCCAGCTACTAGGGTGGTAGGAGACTGAGGCAGGAAGATCTTTTGAGCTTGGAAAAGTCAAGGCTGCAATGAGCCGTGATTGCACCATTATATTCCAGCCTGGGTGACAGAGTGAGACACCCTGTGTCATAAAACAAAAAAAAGGGAGAGTGGGAGGTGGGATACATATTTATATATGTATATATAGGACAGTTGTAGAAAAATACCAATTTTTTGGTGATTTAACTTTTTTGACAGCTCTGTCCATGGCAAATTTTTCTCCTTGAACAGCTTGGCTAGTAATACAAGTTTAGGAAAGCATATTAAACTTTTTTTGAATTCTTGAGAAAATTATATACATGTGACTGTTTTCCTTTAGAATGACTGCAAACTCTGAACCCCCTTATTCGATTAGATTTAGGCTATTATAATCTCTTTGGGACATTTATTCTAAAGGAGCTGGAAGCTATAGTGGCCTCTAGTTTTCCTGGGGATATAAAGCAGCTTAAGGTCTCCTCTTTCTGGAAATTACCCTAGGTGCTGTATTTTAGCTTTCAGATTGGTTCATTTTTGAGTTAGTAAAATTAATACAAATAATAATAATAATCTTTTTGTTTGAATTGTTTTTTGTTTTGGAATTCTCAAGGTTGACCCTGATAGTTCTTTGCACAGTGATCTTCAGATCTTAAAAGAAAAAGAAGAGATAGGAGACATTTTGCTTATGTTTTAAGGTAAGAAAATTTTTATGAGACTCTATATCCTATGAATGGGGGTATATATTTGTACAAGTGTTTTGGAAAACAGTTTGGTAAAGTGGAAGATACTCATACCCTATGGTTCAGGAATCTCGTGGATATATACTCCACAAGAAATGAGTACATATGTGCCAGGAGACACAGGAATGTTCAGAGCAGCATCGTTTATAATAACCCCAAACAGAAAATAACCCAAATGTTCATTCCAATAAAATGGAGAATTGTGGTATTCATAAAATGGCTTACAGTCATGTGGGACAAGATGAGCGAATCTTGAACACTATGTTAAGCAAAAGAGACCAGACCCCCAAAACCTATTTTGTACAATTTCCTCTATATAGAGTTCAAAAATAGGCAAAACTAATGTTGGTTAGGGCATACATTCTTAGCGGAGGCAATATCGCCTGCAGTGGAGTGAAAATTGGTCCTCAGAGTGAAAGAAAATCTGACCTATTATAATGGTCTGCTGCCCTCCAAACAGCCATAGAACATAAAAGAAAACTGAGGAACACTTCTTTATGGATTCATACTTGGGCAGTAAAACTATCAAGAAAAAAGAGGCGATTACACACAGGGTAGGGTAAGGAGTCCATCTAGGTGGGAGGTAGGGAGGTGTGAACTGAAAGGTACATCTGTGGGCTTCTTGGATACTGGCTGTAATATATTTCTGGACCAGGTTGGTGGTTACATGGGCAAATAATTTAGAATAACTTGTTAAGGTCTACCTTAAGGTATACTTTGTGTACTTTTCTGAATGTGTTATATTTAATAAAGTACTTTTAAGATACTAAAAGGTTACAAAAGAATAAGAATGGAATCTAGAAAAAATGTTAATGATCTAATATGGAATCTAGATAAGATGTAATGTTTTAAAATCTATGGCTATATGAAGTATTTTGATGAAGCACACAGACATAAAAGAATACTTTGTTGTACTTTAAGGATGGTAGTAGTTTTCTAAAAGCTTCTTACTTAGCTTTTTCATGTGTGTATTTTTGCTTGGGGATATATCTTATGATTGAACTTTCTTGAAATGACCCTAATGTTAGTATTTTCTCTCAATTTTGTTATCATAGAAACTGTTGTGGTTGTCAACTGAGTTGTCTTCCTGAAGTATGAATCCAGTGTATATTGACTGAAGTTGCTAATGGCTACTTCTTTACGGATTCATATGGGTGAACGAATGAAGCACACGGGCCTACAACAAAAAAAACACACACACACACTAAACAGGAAGATACCATTTTTTAAAAAAAACATTAAATCATATGAACATATGCGCAACACCAAACTTCAGAAATAGAACCTTTGGCTGGGCGTGGTGGCTCACTCACGTCCATAATCCCAGCTCTTTGGGAGGCCGAGGCAGGTGGATCACCTGAGGACAGGAGTTTGAGACCAGCCCAGCCAGCATGGCGAAGCCCCATCTCTACTAAAAATACAAAAATCAGCCAGGCGTGGTGGCAGGTGCCTGTAATCCCAGCTACTTGGGAGGCTGAGGTGGGAGAATCACTTGAACCTAGGAGGCAGAGGTTGCAGTGAGCCAAGATTGCACCATTGCACTCCAGCCTGGGTGAGAGGAGTGAAACGCCATCTCAAAAAATAAAAATAAAAAAGAAATAGAACCTTATCAGTACCTGTAGCACCCTCTGTGCCCCTCCCTTGTCATGTCCTCTTTGGGAGGTATCTTGAAGGGAATATGAAATCTTGGCCAGGAAACTGGAGGATTTGTGACTGCAGGTGGTGTTTTCATTATTTTTTCCTGCTCTAGTTAGAACTTCAGGGAGGGGATGATCTGGGAGGTAAATGGCTGAAATGCTATTGGATTTGTGTTTGTGGCCCATGGCTCCTGATACCAGACAGAAGGGCCTTTTCTGGGGTTGGAGTATTTCTTAAGAGGCCTGGGAAGAATGTGATTGCCTTGAGCTAACTGACCTTCTGAAGAGGACCTTAAACTGAATTGCCAAGTTATTAGTATTGGGATTCACAGACTTTGGAGATTAGCAGGTATGACTCAGAAAGATTTACAGGAAAGAGCCAGAACAATATGTTTATGGCCTCTGATGTCCACAGTGACAACTTGAGAGTCGTGAATAATAAGCAAAATTGAACTTGAGATAAAGTATAACACAAAGATGGGAGTGACTGCAGGAGGGAATGTGCCCTGGTCAGCAACTTGGTAAATCCAACTTGCTGTACTTTTAAGGAAGTCGTTTTCTGATGTTACAGGCAACATCAGAATTACCGAATTGAATTCTGAGGTAGCACTTTAAGAAAGGTCTACTTAGATAAGGTTAGGTTCATTTAGAGAATAATAGCCAGGATTGGGAAGAGATTCTTTTCCATGTCCTAGGATAGCTGGTGAAATTGTGGATTTGGAGAGGAAAACATGGGGGTTCTGGTTCATGATAGATTGTCTTCAACTATTTGAAAGAGTATGTATATGGAAGCATTAGTTTTTATTTTTTTTGGTGAAGGCAGGGCATAAAACTAGAACTAATAAGTCAAATTACAAAGAGGTGATTTTCAACTCAATGTAAGGAAGTGACTTGTAACTATTTAGACCCATCTGGTGATGTAGTCTTTGAAAACTAGAATGTTCTTCATCTTTAAGAATAACTTAGAAGGCTGAGATGTCAAATGGGAAATCAGATAACTTCATGAGATCCTTGTAGAGCCTGAGAGTCTGGTTCTGAGTTAAAATATACTAAGGTAACTCAAACTTAATTTTACCAGTCACCCTCAACCTTTATTTTCCCCTCCCTGAAGAACTCTTTTTATTTCTGTAAAATCTTGATTCCTGAGTTCCAGGGTACAGAGCTTATGGAATAGAGTCCCCAGGTTTTGATGTAGAGGATCCTCTTTCTCCTGTCTGAAAATATCCTTTAGTATTTCCTTTAGTGTGAGTCTGCAGATAGAAAAAATCCTTGCTTTTTATTTCATCATTGAAGAGTATCTTCATTGAGCGTAAGTCTCTAGATGGGCAGTTTCCTTCTTTCAGCACTTGGCAGATATCATTCTCTTATGCCAGCTTCCATTGTTTCTCTTGAAGTGTTTATGGTGGTTAAATCTTGTGAAGTCTTTGATCAGTTTTGGGAAATTCTCCACAACCATATCTTCAGCTCTTGCTTCTGTCCCATTCTTGTTTTTCTTCCAGTGCTCTACGTATGTGATAAACTTTTCAATATGTTGTCTTTTATTTTCTCAATTTTCCACCTTTTTGTCTTTCTGACCTTTTTGCAGTTTACTGAATCTGTCTTCTGCTAGGTTACTGATGTGGTTAAGCTTATCCATTATGTTATTAATTTCAGTTTTGGTAGTTCTAAATTGCAGAATTTCATATGGTTCATTTTATAATTTGCGTTTCTCTGCCAGGTTTTCAGTCTTGTCCCATCTTTCCTTGCTCATGTTCGGCAGTTATTTTGAAGTGTGTCTGCTAACTCTGTTATCTCGATCCCTTGTGGTTTTGTGTCTGTTGTTTGCTTCTCTTGTTTTCTGTTATGTCATCTTTAAGTCTCATGTGGCTTTCTATTTTTAGTGATAGACATTATATATGGAAAAATTGTAGAGCTAATTTGAAGCCTTGGATGATATTCTTCTCCAGAGAGGATTTACATTTCCCCTGCCAGGGGCTTGGAAATTAACAATCAGGGATTGAGATGATTAAAGCTGGCCATCATTCCCTGTTGGGGCATTTTGCAGTTTGCTCTTCAGATTCCCAACCTAAGGAGTGGGAGACTTAGCAGGGCCTCTCCTCGGTGGATGCTGAGCTCCAATGTTTATCTCCCTGTGAGCTCTGTGAGGCTGTGAGTTCTAGCTCAGCTTGTTAACCTCTTCTTCTCTGCTGTCATTGGAAGAAAACCCAAGGTGTAAAAAAGAAGACCCTGTTCTCTGGTATTCCCTTTTCTCAGCCCTGTAATCATTACATTTTGTCCACCTTTCTAGTTCTCAGTGAGAGGATTGATCTAAGTTACCTACTCTATCATTATTGCAATGGTTCCTTTATATAGTTCTATTGAAGTGAAACCCCTTCATATGTTACATAAGTTTACCATAACACTGTTCTGTTTGGGCCTGATTTTAACTTCATTTTTATTTGCTTTGGTTTTCATTTCATTTTTTCTGTACTAATTTTACCTTTATGACTCTCACCCATTATCTGATAATAAATGTACATATTCTTTTATAGATTCTTTTAAAATCTTCTAAATAGTATATAGTATTAACGATGTTCTTAAAATTAATTAAACTTGCTTATTTGCTTTTTAGGATAACTTTCCATTTGATCCTCCATTTGTTTGAGTGGTGTTACCTGTTCTCTCAGGAGCATAAGTTTAAGTGATTAAGTGATTACTTGAAATGCTTTTTTTTTTTTTTTTAGTTTAAAAAATTTTTTTGTAGAGATGAGGTCTCACTATGTTGTTCTGGCTGTTCTTGAACTCCTGGGCTCAAGTGATCCTCCCACCTTGCTCTCCCAAGGTGCTGGGATGACAGGCATGAGCTGCTGTGCCTGGGCTACATTTTTTTTTTTAATATAGTGTGCACCAGAATCATTTGGAGAGCTAGTCCCAGGGTTTCAGATTCAGTAGGTCTGTGGTGTTGCCTGAGCATTTACGTTTTTAAGAAGTTCCCAGGTGAAACTGATACTGTTGTTCTGGGGCCTACATCTGGAACCACTGGTTATAAAGCATTATGTTGTTGATAGGTAGAGATTTTAGTGTTATATATATGCATATATACACATATATATACACACACACGCACATATTTACACATACACACACACATATATATATATATTCATACATACTTTTTTTATCATAAAAACCAAAGATTTTTCAAATGTAAATTGTGATTGAAGGTTTAGAGAACGTTATGATTACAGAGTGGTCCCCCACATACCTATGATCCTAATTAGTACTTCTAGGAATAATCATGGGAAATCTCATGGACCTATGGAGCTGGCTGATTACTTCTAGAGGTGATAGTTGCAGTGTAGTAGAATCAAATGGTAATTGTCATGCAGTTTTACTGAAATTTGTATTGCTTCTTTTTTGTGATTGGAAGTCTTACAGAAGTGGGGAAAAGTCACAGTTTGCTAGGTTAGTTATGAAATGTTCTGTAGACCCTTAAAGTATGAGCAATTTAAAGTAACTTGAGGATTTTCAAATACTCAGCTGACTAATTCCATTACGTGACATAATCCACCTTATGGTGATTAAAATCTAAATATCTCCAGCCCTTACTTTGATCATTTCTATGGTTGAGATAGTAATAGTTGCATTTAGGGTAAAAATATGAGTGACTACTTCAGACTTCAGAACTTTTCTCCAGAAGAGCTTTGTTGCTACAGTTATTTTTAGTTGTATTTGCTTTACATACTTATGCATGTGTTTTGGGGGCTAAGATCCTGTTAAGAATCATTTTGCATAATCAGAATACATATTAACTGTGGTGCTGATACTACGGAATAGTTGTCTGGACATGATATCCGTGTGTAAAAGTTCAGAGAAACAAGAAGTGTGGGTTTAAAAAAAAAAAACCTTAGTATTACATGTGGATGTGCTGAGCTCATTTTGAGTTTCCCCACACAGTAAAGGAATATTGGTTTTATTATTTAATTACTTAATTTTATTGAGACAGGGTCTTTCTCTGTTGCCCCAAGCTGGAGTGAGTGGTGCAATCACAGCTCACTGCAACCTCTGCCTCCCAGGCTCAAGCCATCCTGCCACCTCAGCCTCCTGAGAAGCTGGGACTGCAGTCGTATGCCAGCATACCAAGCTAATTTTTGTATTTTTGATAGAGACAGGGTTTCACCATGTTGCTCATGTTGGTCTCGAACTCCCAGGCTAAAGCGATCCACCCTGCTGAGCCTGACAAAGTATTAGGATTATGGGTCTGAGCCACTTTGCCCAGCCCAATGTTGTTTGTTAAAATTTTTTATTTATTTACTTATCTTTTGCTTTTCTGTTTTAATTTTTAAATTTCTATTTTTTTCAATATTGTGTTTTAAGAGTTTACTTACCTGACGCCTGCAGCCTAATCTTTGCCATATCTCCCCAAATGTTCTGTGAGTGCTAATATAGTGGTATGGTAATAGATATTTGTTTTGTGGGGATTGCAAGGTTTTGGGGAAGGCAGCTTCAAAATGTCTTTTACCAAAGGACTTCTTGGAGCCTTAATGCCATTTTCTATTTTTCCCAAATTTGTTTATTAGTGTTCCTGACAACATCTCAGAGGATGGTGTCTTCTGGCTTACTCTGGGAAATGCTGCTCTGTTGGAAATCTGGAGTTCTGAGTGATCCCCATGCGTTTTCTGGTACAGAGCAGGACATGCTGAAGTGATTCCTTCCTGAGCAGATGTCAGAGGTCTCCCTTTGACAGCTTGTTACAAAGTTGATCACAAATATACTATTACGGGGAGTGGAAGTCCCAGGTTGGGTGTGAAGCAGAGTTGTTTAGAATTGTGTACTATTTTGTTACCTTTAAATCTTTTCTAGGCTGTTTTGGTTTTGGCAGTAAAATTGCTATAAAAAGTACTTCTCTTGGCATACAACCTAATGGTCAGCTTTGGAAGTTCAGTGTTAGGTAACCCAGCCAAATACTTACGTATACAAAATAAACACAAGACTGAAAAATAGTAAATGTTTAACCTTTGTGTCTCTTGCTCACTACAGCAGCCTTTAACTAGCCACCAAGCCATAGTTCTTTTGTTTGTCATAGTTGAATTTCAAAATGTCTTTTTAATGAAGCCCTTCCTGATTGGGGAGAAAGGACATAAGTATTGTGCTTTAGTTTTATGTGCTGGTTTATAAAATTGTGTATGTTGACTCAATATCCCCATAAGCATAGGGAAAGGAAAACAGGTCATTTTTTGTTCAGAATCTTATTTGAGAAAAAAAAAAATGATCAAAGAAAAGATTTGCATAAAAATCTGCAAATTCAGGATAAATGTATGAAAACATTTTAAAATGTGATTATAAAATAGACCAGTATAGCTTTTCAACATTTGGTTGTAAGAATCCCAAGAATGTAAGTTTATGATCTTAGTATACCACCTAGAATCGAGACAAATACATGAGGTTATGAATCATGCCATTTTCAGTTTTAAAATCTGTTACATAGTTTCTTCATTGATTCTTTTTTGCCACAGTGTGTTATGGTCCTCATTATTTGGATGAATAATTTGAATAATAAGTCAGCTTGTGACTTACCTAAATAAATCTTCTGATTCCTAGTAAAGTGTTTTTCATTATATGAAATGCCAGCTATATAAGAGGAGATTAAAAGTACTAAGAACTATAAGTTCCGCATGGATTATCATATGCTAACCATGGGCCAGGCACGGTGGCACACACCTATAATCCCAGCACTTTGGGAAGCTGAGGCGGGTGGATCACTTGAGGTCAGGGGTTCAAGACCAGCCTGGCCAAGATGGTGAAACCCCATCTCTACCAAAAATACAAAAAAATTGCCAGATGTGGTGGTGCATACTGGTAATCCCAGCTACTCAGGAGGCTGAGTCAGGAGAATCGCTTGAACTCGGGAGGTAGAGATTGCAGTGAGCTGAGATTGTGCCACTGCGCTCCAGCCTGGGTGACAAAGATAAACTGCATCTGAACAAAAAAGAAAAAGAAAAGCTAAGCATGGACTTAATTTCTCTGAGGTTTAAAGCTGCAAAGAGTTGCTCTTCATGAAGTAGGTGGGATCTCAGCTGGGCAGTGAAATGTGAGTGGGGTTTGGTCAGCTGGTGGAGGCTGCAGGAAAATTATTTACGTAGGTGAAGAGTAAACACAATCAGGTATCTAGGAAAGAGAATGAGGAATTCAGAGTATACGAAACCAATTTGAGCTATAACGCAAGGAGGGTAGGATTCATGTAGAAGAGTTGTAGGAAATATTGCGGATGTAATATTTTGTACTCAAACAGTTCTGTGGATTGGTGACAGATTTTTTTTTTTCAGGTAAGTAAACTATTACCCCTGGATATTCATCTTTCTATGTAACTGGTTGAGAAATGGGAGTAAGAGTAAAGAAACTGTTTTCGAATAAATCTGGTGACAGCAGAAGAGAATATGAGACACATTGTGCTCACAGAGCCTAGAAGAGTGTGACAGTAGTTGAGGGCCATGCTGTTGTCTTAGAGTGAAGTGAGGAGAACTTACATAGGTGTGGTAGTCATGGGAGTGGAAGGAGGAATGAAATGTGAAAGCCCATTGGAGGCAGAATCAAAATGGCTTGGTCTTCATAGTCAAATATTAAGTAAGGAGGAGGAATTATTGGCTGACTTAGGAAGAAGTAAAAAATGTGAAATACCAATAAAACACCAGGCTTGCAATTTTAGTCAGGGTAAAGCTTAAGTGTTGTGTGATTCTAGATAGATTATTGAGCAGTTTTGTTCCATATATTTTATATCCCATATCTTTGAGCTATGATCCTATTGTTTATTTCTTGACATACCCAAACATTTTTAAACTATTGTGATACAGCTTTTATATGATAAGCCTCACCCTTTGAAGTGTACAGTTCAGTGGTTTTTAGTATATTCAGAGTTATGCAGCCATTACCATTAGCTAATTTCAGAACCCTTTCTTCTCCCCAAAAAGAAACCCCATACCCATTAGCAGTCGCTCTGTGTGCTCGTCTCCCCCACCGTTCATCCTGGCAACCTCTGATCTAATTTCTGTCTCTGTAGATTTGCCTATCCGGGATATTTCATATAAATAGAATCAAACAAAATGTGGCATTTTGTGACTGACTTTTCTTTGAAGTGATTATAAAACAAATGCCTGAAGAGGCAAAGCTTAGGATAGTTTGCTGTACAGCTTTGATAACTGAATTTTTTTTAAGTTGAAAATATTACTGTGTCTGTATATGTGGCATATTATCCTTAGATGACCCTTACTTCAATTATTAGAATTTTTTTCCCTAGTATTCTTGAACTGTCTCAATATTCAGTAGGAACCCCCCTTTGGAGACAAAGAGCAGTAAGAATTTGGAACACATATTGACAAAATGAATGTCATTTAATACAGTAGTGGAGTCGACCACTTTTAGGCGTCAACGCTGCTGAAAGTGTATATTAAGGAAAAGTTTACTTATCTTACTTATCTAGTGAAGGTACTAGAACTACTTCTGTCTTCTGTTTAGATTTCAACAAACATTTGCATAGGTATTATGCGGTTGTACAAATGTACTGTCTTTTGACCTGAAAATGCAAAAACTTCCTTTCTTCCCACTTTCTGAGACTCTGCAACCTTAAAGGAAGAGTGGGGTACTTTAAAGGAAAGGTGGTGATGGTTGGATAATGGGTGACAATGTCTACAATATACTTCCTTTTCCCAAAACAAGTTCCTGTCTACCATCAGCATCTCCAAAATTTGAAGATCAAGTGTGGTGTTAACCCATTAACTAATGACTAGACTTTGAGCAGTTGTGGAACCAAAATCTGAGTGAGTGCCTGGATGTTCTAATTCTGTTAAATCAGTGAGTGCACATTATATACAATACTCTTTTAGCTCAGTGGCAGATTTAAGGAGTGAGAGATAGATTTCTATGTTTCAGAAATCAAATACACAAAGAATAAAAATTTTTAATCCCATGATTCTTTACCTGAGTTTAATTTTTTGGAGAGTTTTTCTTTTAGATTTTCTTTTCCTTCCATTAAACTTTCACTTTGAAAGTTCCCAGGGTTTGGGCAAAGCAAGTGGGAAAGACACTTGCTTGGATTCTCCAGGGCAAGGGAGTTAAAGAAGACTTCTTTCCCTCATTTTATTATTGAATAATGTCATGAAAACAATTATTAAGGTGAATGGTCTACAGTAGAAGTTTTTAGATGCCTTCTCTGCAAAATAATTTGGTTTAGTCAATGCAAGGATGCCTTTGGTTAGCTGGAATGGAAGATGTGCAGGCTAGAGTGGTCTTGGCGAGTCTTCTTGGGGGAAATACGGCATTTGGAAGGGTAGGAAGCAGAAGGAATCTCAAGCAAGGGAAAGGTGTGGGCAGAGCCCCGGAGGACAGAACAGTTTGTGATGGACTTGGTGTCCACATAGATCTAATCAGTGGTCTTAGCTTTTGTGTTTTCAAAATTACCACAGTTTTTGTTCTAAAACTATCATTCCCTTGATTTTACTTTAGGCATGCTATCTGTGTATTTTGAAATTTAAAATAACGTTAGAGGAGAAATGAAATTATTTTGTTTGAGAAGGAGTTAAAAGGTTAAAGCATCTTGAGCTAAATAATTTTCTAATGGGAGATTTGGTACATCCCCAGAAGTTGTCTTTGGTTCAGAGAACAGTCTTCAGACCTAGAAAGGACTTGAGGAGTCCCAGAGAGGAGCCGCATGGTGTGAACCATTCGATTCTCACAACAGAATGGATAAAAACAATTTGAACCATGAAACCATGCAGATGTTCATATTTTGGATAGGGTAGGGTCAGTGCCATTGTCAGAGGAAAAACTCTTGGCAATCACAGGATGGGAGAGAAAGTTTCCATTGTAAAGAATACTCAAATGCCATTTAAGGAAATGGGTTCTTCTGCCCCTATTCTTTGGAATATTTAGGGCCAAGTTCTTAGTTTTTGACATAAAAATTTTAAAGTATTCTGTTCTGATTGCCGTTTCAAACAATTGACTAGAATTTCAGAGCAATTACATGAGAGTAATACCATTAGAATTTTTAAATTACCCATAGTCCTATATGCCTAACAAGTATGTTCATGCTTACGTGTTCTCTTCTTATCTTTACTGTGTGCATACTTTCTTAATAATGCCACATGGAAATTGTTTAAGCAGGAATACTCCTCAAGATAATTTTGTATGTTTCCTTTTTTCTTTTTAAGGTATGTATTGGGTAGAGGAGCATTATATATGGAACCTCTCACAAAACAGGTGATTATTTTCTTATTATACTCAATTTTCACCCTGAATAGAGTGTTTTGATTATGTAAGTTAGATCGTAAGTAGATGGCTCTCTTAAAGACATTTTAGTGGTTTTTTGTTTGTTTTGTTTTGTTTTGCTTTTTTCCGTAGCTCCTACTTTCAAGAATGAAAAAGGTATCCCAGCAGTTTGGGAGGCTGAGGCGGGCGGATCACGAGGTCAGGAGATTGAGACCATCCTGGCTAACACGGTGAAACCCCGTCTTTACTAAAAAATACAAAAAAATTAGCCAGGCGTGATGGCAGGCGACTGTAGTCCCAGCTACTCGGGAGGCTGAGGCAGGAGAATGGCGTGAACCCGGGAGGCAGAGCTTGCAGTGAGCTGAGATGGTGCCACTGCACTCCAGCCTGGGTGACAGAGTGAGACTCCATCTCAAAAAAAAAAAAAAAAAAAGAATGAGAAAGGTAAACCAGTAAAATAACATTGTGCTTGGTGCTGAACCTATGCTAGTATTGGCATTAACACTGACCTTTATTTAAGGTTCTAATTTGTTCATGTTGGGCACTTAGAACATCGGTTTGTTGTTTTTTTTTTGTGAGATTCTGGAAACATTCCAATTTTACCTTTTCCCCTTGACTCCAGACTTTTTAACACTGGTCTGCTACTGTTAAGTTGTATGCCATTTTGTTAGGCCTTCTCAAGTGGGAATCAGGAACGCTGCTGTGCTCTAGAGATGTTTTGTTCTTCCTGTAGGGCTGAAGCAGTGCCTACTCGATAGAATCAGTCATCATGCAAATAAAAGCCACCTGAGTCAAAGGCAAAGCCAGAGTGCAGCTTGGAGCAAAGAAGGTACTTTTATTAAGAATTTTACATAAACCATAAGATATATTTTATGCTACTTTGTGAGCCTTCTTCCTATCTTAATTCTTTTTGAGAGAATTCATTTCATTTTCATTTGGTTTGTTTTCTTTTTGTTAAAAAGATGATCTATAGAAAATATAGAAGTGTAAGAAAATTAAAGTTACTAACTGATAATCACTTAATGATTTAGTATCTGATTGTTTAGTCTTTGTTATATTTACTGTAGAGAAACATGTCTACAGTTGTAAATTTATTATTGTTATGTATACCATAGTAAAAGTTATATGTACTTTGAAGTTTTGCAAAATTGAGTTCATGTTATAAAATTAATTCCTGATGAACTTTTATGTGCTAGGCACTAGTCTTTTTATTTACTTATTTTTACTTTTTTTGTTTCCCTCTGTGCCTATGCTTACCAAGTCTTTTTATTTTTTACTTTTTATTAGCTCTTTCAATCCTCTTAATAACTTTAAAAGAGGGTATTATTAATATCTGCATTTTACAGATGAGGCAACTGAAGGTAGGTAACTTGTCCAAAGTCACAGGTGGCAGAGCAAGGATTGGAACCAGACAGTCTGACTGCCCTAGGCCCAACCAAGAGGAGCTGAGAGCAAGCCACGGGGCAGAAGGATGTTGGAGGCTGGTTTTCTGTTCAGTTAACATGAAATGCAGGCTGTAACCTTAATTCCAGGACATTACTGAGAAAGTCTTCCAAAGCCAGAGGGGTTTTTTTTGTTTTGTTTTGTTTTGTTTTCCATGACCATGACTTTTGAGCAAAAATTTGGTTTTGTTTAAAGGCAATATGGTGCTCTAAGAAACTTCCACTCACACTTATGGAGGGAATGGTAGTTGAGCTAAATAGTGAAATGCTGTAGCACACAGCCTTTAGGGCAGCTTCTGACCTATTTCTATGGTCAGGAAAGACACCTATCTTTGCCTGCTGCCCACAGCCTCTAGTTATTCACCTTCAGAATTTCCTAGTCTGTGATCACATTCAGATGAGAGATCCGTTTTGTTTTTTCCAGGGTAGCAGGAAGTGAGTCACCACCTATACTAAGCAGTCTAGTCTTCTGTGTATAAATGAGCAAGGGTGGGGAGCCAGATCTGAGAACCTTGTGTAATGCTGAGATGCTCCAAGAGAATCCAAGAGGATGTCAGGATTATGCATGGTGGTAAAGTGGTCTCATGTTAGTTGTACCCACAGCTCTCATCAGAAGCAGACACAGATACTTTTTGTAGGAAAACATCTCTAACTTAAGCCTGTAGGATTCCCAAAGATTAAAAGCAGGCAAATATGATTTCAGTCAAATCATAGCATTCAAGTAGTCTCAACCCAACATATTTGAGAATTGTTAGAAACAATGAATATGTTTCCCAAAGACTAGGTTTTGGAATTATCAGATACAGAACACAGACTTCAAATATTAGAATTGTGAGAAAATAGTTACATGTCAAACCTAATATAAAAGAAAGATGGACTCATTAAATTGAGCAACAGAAAGGCCACCAGGAATGAGGAGGAGGACCTGAAAAGAAAATGGATGAACTAGAACTTACAGAAATAAAATATATAGCTGGGTCTGGTGGCTCACACCTGTAATCCCAGCACTGTTTGGGAGGCCGAGGTGGGAGGATGGTATGAGCCCAGGAGTTGGGGAGACAAGCCTGGGCAACATGGTGAGAACTCGTTTCTGTAAAAAATACCCCAACACCACCAAAAAAAAAAAAAAAAAAAAAGTAGCTGGGTATGGGGCACGTGTCTGTAGTCACAGCTAGTCAGGAGGCTGAGGAGGGAGGATCACTTGAGCTCAGGAGGCAAGGGCTGCACGTGCATGCCACTGCAGTCCAGCCTGGGTGACAGAGTGAGACTCCGTCTCAGAATAAAATGAAATAAAGAAATAAAAAATGTAATTGTTGAAATAAAAAACTCAGTGGATGGATTAGACATCAGAAGAAAGAATTAGTTGGTTAGACAATTATCTCCCAAAAGTGAGTCAGTATGTTACACAGAGAGACATGAGGATAGATGATAGGGCAGAAGTTGGTGGGGTTGTAGGGGGAGGGAGACCAGAATGAGGTCTAAAATATGTCTTAGTGGAATCCCAGGAGGAGATATTAAAATTATATTAGAAAGTGAGAGAAATAGAAGTTCTAAAGGCAATAGAAGGAAGTCCACATAAATCAGTCACAACAAATGTAAATGGACTAAAGTTACCAGTTAGGTGGAACTAATAAAAGAATATCCAGCTGTTTTAATCCATCATATTTAAAATATAAGGATATGAGAAGATTGAAAGTTTTTATAAAGGAGAGAGAGTAATGAAGATATGGCAGTATACATTAACCAAAAACAAGTGATGGAGCTTCAGTATCAAAAAAGGATTTTGGAACAGAAAGCATTAGTAAGAAACTTGATGCTGACTGTTAATTAGGAGGATGTAGCAATTTTCATATTTTATGTACCTGTCAAAATAGCCTCAAAATGCAGGAGAAAAACTGATAAAACCACAGGGAGAAATTGACAAGTCTGCCAGCATATTTGGAGATTTCACCATACCCTGCTTACCATAAGTAAGTTACACAGAATGCCCATATGTAGATTTGAATAACCAGTGAATGGACATGGTGTAATGGACAAATATAGGCCTTTGTACCCAATAATTAGATATTCTATATTCTTCTCAAGCATATGTGGACTGTGGGAGAAACATTAATTATATATTAATTCGTAAAGCAAGTCAGAAGATTTAAAAACAATTGGTACCATCCACACCATATAATTTATAATTTAAATATGAAGCAATTAAGGTTAGAAGGCAATAATGAAGAGATTAACAAAAAGCTACATGAATTTGGAAATTAAACACCCTTGTAATTCATGGTATAAAAAACTCAATACAATTTTAGAATGCTTAGAATTGAACCATAGTTAAAATATGAAACTTCTCTCTGTTCCTGTCTCTCTCCCTCTCCCTCTCTCTTCCTATCTGGAACATTCAAGAAGCTAATCTTTTTCAATGAAGAACACCCCAAATACTGAAAAGTAGGAAAAAGACAGATGGCATTTCATGGTAATCCCTTCCCCCAAGAGTGTAGAATGTTTCTTTAGCTTCTTTGATAGTTTGTTTACTTATTTATTAAGTACTTACTATAAACCAGACTCTGCTTTAATTTGTGATGAACAACCTAGAGATTAAGTCCTGCCCTATGGATTTTATATTAGAGTGAGAAAAACAGATAGCTAAGTCTGGAGCTCAGGGGTGAGGCCCAGGTTGGAATTATAGATTCACTTGACCAAGGTGAAACCTGGTGTGCCCCCTCCTACTTCACATCCCCAGACATACTTCTGGAACATTTCTGTTCTATTCTTGTGTATAAACTCTTCCTTTTGAGCCTCTCTCCATTAATGCATGTCAACCTCTACTTGTCTTTTGTTGATTTTGAGGCCACTTGCCCATATAACTTGGAGGATATTGAAGAAGAATCATACCGACCTGGTTCTGCTACCTACCAGCTGAGTTACTTTGGTCAAGCTCTTGGACTTCTGAGGCTGTTTCCTAATTTCAAAAGTGGGTATATGATGTGTTAGGCCCTGGTGGGTTGCAAGGAAGAGGTACACACATACCACCTTTGATGATGAGGGCCGAATGTTAACTTGGATGGAAAGTCATCCAAACAGCGATATTGTCTCTGGCCCTAGTAATTTCAAAACCTCACAGAATATTAATTTAGCAGTATTTAGGATAGGGTTTGAGCTCTGAAGACCTACAGTATGGTTATTTGTTCATATGGCTGTTTTCCATACTAGACCATGAACTCCATGAGGGCAGGGTCTACAGTTTCATCTTTGTCTCCTAGGCACTCAGTTCAGTGCCTGATACATAATAATAGAGGCACAAATGTTTTAAGAGTTGAGGAATTTTCAACTCTTTCTGAAAGAATAGGAAGATATAAAGGCTTCTCAGAGACGGTATTATTTAAGCTGATTTTGTTTTTGTTTTTGAGATGAAGTCTTGCTCTCTCGCCCAAGATGGAGTGCAATGGCGTGATCTCAGCTCACTGCAACCTCTGCTTACCAGGTTCAAGTGATTCTTCTGCCTCAGTCTCCCGAGTAGCTGGGATTACAGGCATCCACCACCACACCCAGCTATTTTTTGTATTTTTAGTAAAGACGAGGTTTCACGATGTTGGCCAGGCTAGTCTCAAACTACTGATCTGAGGTGATCCGCCCACCTTGGCCTCCCAGAGTGCTGGGATTACAGGCATGAGCCACCATGCCCGGCTTATTTAAGCTGATTCTTTAAGGGTAAGTAGAAATTTTTTCCAGGTGAATAAAACCTTGAGCTATTATTCCAAGCAGAGACCAGTAGGTGCAAAGACACAGGGATATAGAGATGCTGAAGTTTACCAAACACTGCTAGATTAAAAAAACAAAAAGGAAACTATCAAAATCAAAAATTAAAATTAAAAATCACCTATAATACAAGCTATGAATGGGCTTGGCCAGAGGTCAGATCGCAACTGAGTTAACTATGACCGTAGACACTCAGTAATGGATGGAAGTTTTAGGGAAAACACATAACATTCTCAGGTTGTTGGCAGAGTATCTGGAACAATTTACAAATACGGGCATTGAATTCTGGGAATAATTACACTGTAGTGATATCATTTCCTTCTCTGCGTATGAAGCATGTATGTATTGCACACTGTTCAAGGTGCTGAAAATCAGACTCTTCTCGAGCAATCAAGGGAGATGGATGGGTGAGCAACTGATTATCATGTGACAAGTGAGGTAACAGAGATATGACTAAGATGGTATCTAAACAAGAAGAAAGGAATTATTCATAATATATGGAGTTCTGGGGAAATATTTCTCAAATGAAGCCGGCCGGGCCGGATGGCTCCCACTTGTAATACCGGCACTTTGGGAGGTGGAAGTGGGAGGATCCAGGAGGATCTAGGAGTTCAAGACCAGCCTGGTCAACAGAGCAAAGCCCTGCCTGTTTCTATATTTGAAAAAAAATAAGTAAATTTTTTTAATGAAATGATATTTGAGCACTCTGGAGCACCATACAAATATAGGACAGACTGAAGGAATGTATCTGGCTTGAGTTAACATTTATTGAAATTTTATATTGCAAAAATAGTACATATTCACTGTTTTGAAACTAGAAAGAATTGATAGGCAAGGAGGGCTGTCTACAAAGCACTCCATAGATCCACCATACTGAGACAATGCTTAATGCTTTGATGGATTTATTGTATACTATCTATGCATATGCATGTATTATATACATACATGTGCATGGTTAAATAGAAATATTTCTCCTTGGTGTTAATCCATTTATTGTTATGCAGTAAATCCCCAAAGAGCACATTTGCTTTGCCCAAGGGAGTCTTTTGCTACATACTGCTGTACATAATGAAAACTAAAAAATTGGCTAACTTTTCAGCCTTGTGACCTTGTGGTGATTCAAATAGAGGCTTCATCAAAGGCAGATTCAGAAATGAACTTGGTATGTGGGTGGTTATGCTTGGCATTATTGTTTGTAATAGTATGATAGGGATGACTTCAGTGTCCACCAACAGGGAACTGGTTAAGTAAACTGTGGTACATCCAAACGATGAATACTGTGCGGTTGTAAAGAAGAATGACAAAGACCTCTGTACTCATGTAGAAGAACTCACATATATTGTGTGTGTTTTAAGAGGAACAAGGAATGGTATAGTATGTATGGTATGCTACTTTTTGTGTTGAGAGAGAAGAGTAGAATAAGAATATACGTGTGTATTTGCAAACATAAATTCCTAAATGATATATAAGAAACCAATTAAAAGTGTTTGGCTGTAGAAGGAGAATAAGACTGTGAATGGGATTTGGCCACATACTTTTATAGGTAGTTATATTTAAAAATTTTCTGAACCATGTGTTTGTACACATGACCTTTTTAAAAATAAGTGAATGAAGGAATGAAGTAGGATTATGAGAAAGAGATAAGAACAAATGATCTAAGGGGCTGCCCATCTTTTTAGTACCCAGTGAATATTAATATATAACAATAGCAGCAAAAATTGGAAGAGTAGCCCCAGGAGGGTAGGGAGTCAGCCTTTCCTTTGTCTTTTCCTCAATTTCATATATTAAACAAAATAATCTGAGAACGATAAAACAATTTGAAATAAAAAATGTCTCCAGATCTCTTAAAAGGAAGCTGGGGCAGCTTTCTGTAGCGCACTTCCCAAAAATGGGCTGATTTACCTCAAGAGGCAGGGATTCTAGCCTACATGGGATACATACAGGAGAAAACAAAATCAGAAAAAGAAAAGAGATTTAAATATAAATAAATGAAAATAACAATTCTCCCTCATTATAAAGGAAATCATTCTTTTTGTAATAATTTGGATGACAAATATTAAGAAAAATCTTTAATTTGCCACTCAAAACATTGTGGTTTGTTGCTTTTTATACGTTTTTATGCACATAAACCTTTTAAAAAGTAGAATCGTAGTATGTAGTCTTTTGTCACTTACTATATTTTGGGCATATTTCTGTGGCAGTAAATATATCCTGGCATCATCATTTTTAATAGCTGGATGTATATTAAGTTAATCACTGCCACCCCAGAGGTGAATTTTCTTATACACACATTTTAATGGGCTCGAGCAAACATTTTTGGACTGAATTCATAGAAGTAGAATTTCTGGAGGAAAATAATTTTTAGGGTTTTTAATAGAAATTTTCAAATCATTCTCCAGGAAAAGTGACTCAGGTTATACTCCCACCAACAAGGACAGAGCTCCAGGTTCCCCTTTCCATTTGTCATCTTTCCTGCCTTTATACAGAAAATCTCATTGTTTTCATGACATTTCTTTGATTTCTTGTGCTTTTGAATCTTTGTATATGCCACTGGCCATTTTTATTCTTGTGAGAAGTGCCAGTTTCTCCATTGCCCATTTTCGGTTGAAAATCATTTGTTTTTTTTTCTCAGTAATTTTAAAGATTTCTTTATAGTCTAAGGATGCAAGCCTTTTATCTGTCATTGAGGTGACAAAACTTTCTCCCAGTAAGTAATTTGTCATTTCATTTTTTCTTCTTTTCTTTTTCCTTTCCTTTCCCTTTCTTTCTTTTCCTTGTTTCTTTCTTTCTTCTTCTTCCTTCCTTGCTTTCCTTTTCTTTCTTGCTTTCCATTCTTACTTTCTTTTCTTTTCCCTCCCTCCCTCCCTCTCTTTCTTTCCTCTTTCTTTTTCTTTCTCTTTCTTTCTTCTTTCCCTCTCTCTCTTTCTTCCTTTCCTTTCTTTTTCTTTATTCCCTCCCTCCCTCCTTCTTCCCTTTTTTTCTTTCTTTCTTTCACTAGCCAAGCTCCAAAGTCACATTTCACTTAATTTTTATCCTGCCAAATTTGAAAGCCTTTTAACTTCGTGATTTTAGTGTAAACAGGAGCAGGAGAAAATGTAATTATCTAAGTCTCGCTGTGTCACCCAGACTGGAGTGCAGTGCCATAATCATAGCTACTGCAGCCTTGAACTCCTCGCCTCAAGCAATTTTCCCACCTCAGCCTGCCAAGTAGCTAGGACTACAGCTATGTGCCACCACACCCAGCTAATGTTCAAAAATTTTTGTGGAGATGTGAATTCTTTATGCTGCCCAGGCTAGTCTTGAACTCCTGACTTCAAGTAATCCTCCCACCTCGGCTTGCCAAAGTGCTGGGATTACAGGTGTCAGCTACTGCTCCTGACCGAGAGTTTAGTTTTGTTTGCTAGTGGTGTTCTTGGTATCTTTTCATATTTGAGGTTTTGGGCTAGTGCTGAAGTATTACACTCACCATTCGAGGTCTACAGGACTTTTGGTTTAATATTGAACAGATGGAACTGTTTAGTTCTGCATCTTTGCAGGTATACAGAATGTGCCTACCAGGAATCTGCTTTATATCCATTGAAAGCAAGAAATAATACAGTAAAACTTTGCCTGGCTAGAGGCTTTGAAAGAATGGCGTATTCTGGTTTAATTCTATTACTTTGGAAGTATAAAGGTGAAAAAAATTCAAAACTTAAATTTCCTGTTGAATGCAATTTGAAAATATAGCCAATGATTCCACTTTTCTTCTCTAGTAAGGTTGGACATTCTGATCTACTTGGTGTTTTATTATAGAACTGCTAGTGTGCGTGAGTCTTACATTGTGAAGATACTTTTTTAAAACTTGAGATGTAAGAGGATGTAAATGGTTTTGTAGGAGATCAGGCTGGATGAGAACGGACACTTGTAAACATACTTTTTAGACTAAATCTCTGATTGCCGCTTGTTTTTCTTATGGAACTCATACAAATAAAACACATTGGATGGAGGGTGCGAGTAGGAAGGAGATTCTTGTCTTTTAATTGCATGTCATTGTTTCATAACAAGGCAGAACATATGGTAACCCTGGCTTTGGACCTACAGAAGGAAACACATTTTTCTACCTGCTGTATGCCAGAGGTTCTTGAACACTTGGAGGGATTACTGCAGCACAGATTGCTGAACCCTACTCCAGAGTTTCTGATTCACCAGGTCCAGGGTGGGGCCTGAGAATTTGCACTTATAAAAAGGTCTCAGGTGCTGCTGGTGCTGCTAGTCCATAGACTACATTTTGAGAACCACTCTTGTCTATTAAGTGTAAATTGTAGAACTCTAGAAAAAAGCTTAGTTCAGTCTGGGATAAGAAGCACACAGGTTATGGAGAAAATCATGAAAGATTCAACCCTTGATCCCAGCCTAGTGTGGATTTCAGGTAACAAGCAGTACACAGTGACATAACACAATTCTTGGTTTTCATGACTGCAAGTCATAGCCAGGTATCAAGTGAGAAATTCAGTTTCATTTGCAAGGCCTAGAGAGGCCTGGTGATTCTAGAAAAGTGGGCCTTGTATTTGTTTTAAACCAATAAAGAGCTTTAAGTGCTTATTAAATTGGAAGTTTTGTGTTCCTACTTATTTTGTATCTTATTTTATTTTATTTTATTTCTTTTGAGATGGAGTCTTGCTCTGTCACCCAGGCTGGAGTGCAGTGGCATGAGCTTGGCTCACTGCAACCTCCATCTCCTGGGTTCAAGTGATTCTCCTGCCTCAGCCTCCCAAATAGCTGGGATTACAAGCACCCACCACCACACCTGGTTAGTTTTTGTATTTTTAGTAGAGACAGGGTTTCTTCATGTTGGCCAGGCTGGTCTCGAACTCCTGACCTCAGGCGATCCACCCACCTCGGCCTCCCAAAGTGATGGCATTACAGGGGTGAGCCACCGCACCTGGCCCAAAAGCTTTGTGTTTTTAAAGATATTAGACATGTTTCTTGTTTTTAAAAGAAATCTTAACAATAATGTAGGAGAATAAGACAAACATTTTTCCAAAAAAGAGAAATCATTGTGATTATATTCTGTTATTGGAATGTCGGATACTATAGTCGGCTTCATTAATCATCAAGAATGCTATGGATTTTCCATTTTTATAGGATCTATATCTCAGTTAAGGTAATACTTGTAATTCTTGTGCTCCATTTGAAGATGAAAAATATAGGCCAAAATCATAGACTTTGCATAGAAGCTGGATAATGAAGACAGCTCTGGAGGAACACATAGATACACACAGACACACATATATAAAGTATACACACATATATTTTTTAAAGTTTATTTTTAACAGTTTTAAAGCTTTTAAAGCAAAAGCCAGCCCTTCCCCTCTCCCAGAGTGGGTGGCCCCTCCCCTCTTAGTGGGCGGGGACAGCAGTTGCATGGGCAGCTTTCCTTATGATGCCACAGGTCCCTCTGGACATGCTGCTGCCTGGCCACGCCTCCTTTCCCTTTCATCTTTCTCACTGACCAATGGGCTTGGAGCCTTAAGGCCACGCCCCTATTCTGCGTTCCATTGGTGCCCTGGTTACGCCACCTGTGGCTCAGTTGCACAGCTGCCTGGTAGGTGACTGGAGGCATTGAGCAGTGCTCACTGGTATTTCGCTGATGTGGCCCCAACCCCGCCTCCCTCCCCACCCCGCGATGTCAGAAAAAACACAACAGGGGAAATTGGCCGCAGCCAAGAAAAAGGTAAAACACACCAGGTCATGGCCCCCAACCCAGCCACAGATCCCCTCCGATGACAAGACCGGTGCCAGAGTCCATACCACTCCTGAGGCATACCAGATGGGGCCCCCCAACCCCAGCCCCTCTGGGCTCCCCCAACCAAAGCCTAGTCAGTCAGCCCCACCCCTTCAGCAAGCAGCCCAGTCCCTGCCCTTGCCAATCACCCCAGGGTGACTTTGGGCAGGTGACTCCTGGGGCTCCCTGCTCCATAATCAGCCCTCACCTCCTGCCACCCCAAGCCCAACCTCCCTGGGCTCTTTGGGCTTGCGTCTCCCAGGACCTGGGTCCCCCAGCCCCAGGCCCTGCCCTCACCAGTCATCCCTGGGTGGCTTTGGGCTGGTGACTCCCGGGGCTCCCTACTGCAGACTCTGCCCTCCCCTCCTGCTGCCCCAAGCTCGACCTCCCTAGGCTTCTTGGGCTGGCGTCTCTGAGGACCTGGGTCGAAACCGTGTGTTTCCCTCCCCCATCGTGGAGCAGCGACTCGGGCATCGCGCTGATGTGGTCCCCTCCCCTGGGAGGAGTGGAATGCAATGATGTCACAGTGCCCCTAGGAACTGTCATTACTGCTGCAAGACCGGCCTTTGATCTTACAACCCAGTCCCCTAAGTTTTCTCACCCCATTTCTGGTTCCTCTGGTTGCAGCACAAATTTCCAGCTGGAAGGGGAGTGGAGACTATGGGACCTAGGAGCAAGAGGTTTCAGGCTGCCTTACTCCCTTAACATAGACATTGACAGTGGGAAAAGCCTACACTTCCCCTGTGAGCTCAAAATGTTCACAGTATCTCTGGGTGGCAATGGGAGAATGGGTTTGGTTTGGTTTTTTCCCAGGCTTCTACTTTCCAGAGAGACTTTAACATTTTTTTCTGAGTTCTCCACGGTTCTGGGACCAGACTGCCCTTCAGTCAGTGGCCTCTGAAGTGAGATTTGCTCATCTTCTGTGGAATAGATCTTGGGAAACTGAACTTGACAGCTTGAATCTTCCTCATATCGTCTCAACCTGGGGTACTTTGAGTGCCACAGGATAAATGTGGGACATCTTTCTGAAGCATCATTTTCCCTTGATTCTCTTGAGAAAATGCATTAATGTACTTAGGGATGACAGACACATAGGTTTCCAAGCGTATACCAGACTTCGCTCTGAAATGAGGCTTGGGTTGTCCTCTTTCTGATAAATTCCCAGATTTAATAGAAAAGCTGCCTTCTGCCATGAGGACACATTGATATGAAAGTGTGAGAGGTACTGGTACGCTTCTTCACGCTAGCAGACCTGTGAGGATGTATGACTCTAAACCACACGGCCTACAGTTCCTGCCTGCTTAATGTTTACTTTTCTACCTCTGCCCCTGGTTTTGGTCCCTGGAAGCTGCTGATTCATGGCAAAACCCCAGAGCTTGGAGTCAGAGGACTGAGTTTAAGTTCCAGTATTGCCTTTTTTGATCTTTCTTTTTTTTTTTTTTCTATCCATGATATCAATCCCTCTCAGTCACTAAGTGATTGTGACAACACCTTGTACAGTTGTTGGTGGCATTACATCAGATGGTATATAAGGGTATTTTGTCAAAACTGTAAAGGAGGATGTGGCTGTAGGGGCTGATCATTCTCATGAGTGTTACCGCTCTTCTTTCCCACAGTTAAAAGCATATTGGCAGAGGAAGAGCCCTGGCATTCCAGCAGGAGCTAACAGGAAAAAGAAAATCAATGGCAGTAGCCCTGACACAGCCACTTCTGGTGGTTACCACTCACCTGGGGATGTGAGTCTCGGCGGGCCAGGGTCCTGGGGACAGGGGGCCCAAGGGGCAGTAGAGGGTAATTGTTAAGATTGTAGATGGACTGTTGGGTACTGGTTAAGAATTCTGGATTTGAATCCTGCCTCTCCATCTGCTAAGAATTGATTAGGGATTGATTAGCATATGATTTAGGGCAAGTTGCTTGAGGTCTTTGGGCCTCTCTTTTCACATCTGTATAATAGAGGTGGTATTTTTTGACTTCCATTTGTGAAGTTTAAATGAGATTCGTTATTGTTGCTTTTATGTGAATCCTTAGTACATGGCCTGCTGCAAACACCCAGGACACCGAGGAAATGGTCGTTGCTGTTTGATTTTCCTCATCCCCAGTCTCAAGGGGAAGCCAGGCCAATGAGAAGAGCCACTTGCCATCAGGCTGTCCCTTTAGGAGTCACTGAAAGGGCCCCAGGGTGGGATGGTGGGGAGATAAGAACCACGAGAGAAGTTGGCACAAAGGAGTTATGGGAAAAAGGGTCCAAGATAGGCAGAAAAGAAGCTTTTGCCAGTTGATGGGGGAAGAAAGGAAGTCAGAGGGCTTAGACAGTGAGGGGGGACAGAACATCTCCATGTGCACTCTCATCTCTTGCAGTCAGCAACAGGTATCTACGGGGAGGGCCGTGCATCCTCTACTACCCTGGAGGATCTGGAGGTAAGAGGCCCTGGGCCGAGGTGCAGTGACCCTGCAGGCCAGCCCTCCAACCTCCTCCCACAGCAGGGGCTTGTTGCCCCTCTGCCAGCTGAGGCAGCCCACACACCCCCACCAGCCCTAATGATTATTCTCTCTACCCCTCCCCACAATCTTCCTCCAACTCCTTCTCTCTGCATGCACCTCAGAGCCAGTACCAAGAACTAGCAGTGGCCCTGGATTCAAGCTCCGCAATAATCAGTCAACTCACTGAAAACATCAATTCACTGGTAAGAGTCCAGTGGGGTCCCCTGATTACAGCTGGTCAATCCTGGACTCCAGTTTCCTCTTGGGGCCCTGAAGAAAGGAGCTAGGGGCCCCTGATGCCAAGGGCAAATGGGGAGCTGGGCACCCAGGTCTCACCTGGAGGGACCCCAGAGCACAGAACATGCAGCATGGGTCTTCTGCACTGCCCTCTTTGCTGACTCTCTCTTCTCCAGACACCCCTGCTCTAGTCCTTGCCACACATGCCCTGGGGTTGTCACCTCTCTGGGAAGCACTAGCCTGACTGGTTGTCAGGGGTCCATATTTCTGCCCTGCCTCAGTCCCTAATTTGCTTTTTGAGTCTGGACAAGCCATCTCTCCTCTTTATGCTCGTGTTTCTGGAGGAGGTAGAGAGTATCAAAGGTCTCGGTTAGCTCTGAAAGTCAGAGATTTAAAGGCCCCTAGAATGGAAACCTCAGGGCCAAGGGCTCCTGTCTGTCCTTTGCTGTTTTATATCTCTGCTATGAAGAACTGTACCTGGCCTGTACATGCTCAGTAAATGTTTGTTGAATGAATGCACGTTTCTAAATCACAAACTGGCAGAAGGGGGGTGGGCCCTTCTCAAACTCTGTCTCTAGAGGTTCACCAGCCCCTCCCTCCAGGGCCCTTTTCCCCCTTTGCTTTGGGCAGGTTCGCACATCTAAGGAGGAGAAGAAGCATGAGATACATCTGGTACAGAAGCTTGGGAGGAGCTTGTTCAAACTCAAAAACCAGACGGGTAAGATGGGGCTGGCATGACCTGGCAGCTGGACTGGCATTAGAGGGCTGTGGGGGTGACTTAGAATGCCCCAGGGAGGTGGGTGGATGGAAGGGCTTTGAGGCAGAGGGAAAGAGGTCTGTGCCAGGGGAGGACAAGTCTTGTCATCTCCATGAGCCTCAGTGTCCCCATCAGTAAAGAGGGAGGAGTGCCCATTGTCAGCCACCCACAGTGCTCTCTATCTGAAAGTGACTTGGAAGACTGGCTACCATCCGGGTGTGAGGAGTCATTAGCAGTGAGGCCAAGTTTGGGAAGCCTGAGAGGAGGAGCTGTGCACCGAAGGGAGGATTTTTTTTTTTTTTTGAGAATCCAGAGGCCCTTATTGTCTGCTTCCTTTCTCAGCTGAACCCCTGGCCCCAGAGCCCCCAGCAGGGCCATCTAAGGTAGAGCAGCTACAAGATGAGACCAACCACCTAAGGAAGGAGCTAGAGAGTGTGGGAAGACAGCTCCAGGCTGAGGTGGAAAACAATCAGATGTTGAGTCTCCTGAACAGGAGACAGGAGGAGAGGCTACGTGAACAGGAGGAGAGGCTACGTGAACAGGAGGAGAGGCAACGTGAACAGGAGGATAGGCTACATGAACAGGAGGAGAGGCTACGTGAACAGGAGGAGAGGCTGTGTGAACAGGAGGAGAGGCTGTGTGAACAGGAGGAGAGGCTACGTGAACATGAGGAGAGGCTGTGTGAACAGGAGGAGAGGCTATGTGAACAGGAGGAGAGGCTACGTGAACAGGAGGAGAGGCTACATGAACAGGAGGAGAGGCTACGTGAACAGGAGGAGAGGCTGTGTGAACAGGAGGAGAGGCTACGTGAACATGAGGAGAGGCTGTGTGAACAGGAGGAGAGGCTACGTGAACAGGAGGAGAGGCTGTGTGAACAGGAGGAGAGGCTACGTGAACAGGAGGAGAGGCTGTGTGAACAGGAGGAGAGGCTACGTGAACAGGAGGAGAGGCTGTGTGAACAGGAGAAGCTGCCAGGGCAGGAGAGGCTGCTGGAAGAGGTGGAGAAGCTGTTAGAACAGGAGAGGCGGCAGGAGGAGCAGGAGAGGCTGCTGGAGAGGGAGAGGCTGCTGGAAGAGGTGGAGAAGCTGTTAGAACAGGAGAGGCAGCAGGAGGAGCAGGAGAGGCTGCTGGAGAGGGAGAGGCTGCTGGAAGAGGTGGAGAAGCTGTTAGAACAGGAGAGGCGGCAGGAGGAGCAGGAGAGGCTGCTGGAGAGGGAGAGGCTGCTGGACGAGGTGGAGGAGCTCCTGGACGAGGTGGAGGAGCTCCTGGAGCAGGAGAGGCTTCGGCAACAGGATGAGAGGCTGTGGCAGCAGTAGACTCTGCAGGAGCTGGAGAGGCTGCGGGAGCTGGAGAGGCTGCGGGAGCTGGAGAGGATGCTGGAGCTGGGGTGGGAAGCCCTGTACGAGCAGCGGGCCGAGCCACGCAGCGGCTTCGAGGAGCTGGTGCGTTGCCCCACCTGGGGAGGCTGCCCTCTTCCCTAGCCCTCAAGGCCTTTGTTTCCCCACCTGTAAAATGGGGCATTGTAGCCTTCACATGAAATGGTACTTCTAAAGGCATCTGTGAGCCAGAGCCCTGCTCTGATGGCTGTGGGAGAGAGGGGATATTTTTCTAACCTGCCTCCACCCTTCCCGGTGCCATGGGAGGCAGACACTAAGTTCTGGGGTCTCCAGTTTTAGTGGGTGGCCACTGATTGCTTCTCTCTGTCCAGAACAACGAGAACAAGAGCACACTGCAGTTGGAGCAGCAAGTAAAGGAGCTGAAGAAGTCGGGTGAGCTGAAAGAGACTGTAACCTCCGACCCATCCAAGAAGATGTGGGAGGTGGGCACCAGCCTCTGGGGAGGGGAGGTGCCAGGCCACAGGCAGCTGCAGCCTGGGGACAGGTGACCCCAGCACCCTCCGGGGCAGTCCTATGACTGTTTCTTGCTTCCTGCCCTCTGACTTTTAGAGGTGGGTAGCCCTGGGGTCCTCCCAGGTCTGGACATCATCATCCCAGCTAGAGGCATGGAGCCCCCCAATCACAGAGGAAGAGACAGTGGTATAAGAGGCTCCTTATGTCGGGTGTGGTGGCTCACGCCTGCAATCCCAGCACTTTGGGAGGCTGAGGCAGGACAATCACTTGAGGTCAGGAGTTTGAGACCAACATGGCCAACATGGTGAAAGCTCATCTCTACTAAAATTAAAAAAAATAATAATAATTAGCCGGGCCTGGTGGTGCATGCCTGTAATCCCAGCTACTCAGGAGGCTGAGACACGAGAATCACTTGAGCCCGGGAGATGAAGGTTGCAGTGAGCTGAGATTGCACCACTGCACTGCAGCCTGGGACACAGAGTGACACTCTCTCAAAACAAAACAAAACAGACAAACAAAAAAGACTCCTTAGATTCAAACTGGATTCCGGCCTCGGTTCCACTGGTCATAATTCAACTACTTTGCATCTCTAAGTCTCTGTTTCTTTAACTTCAAAAGGAAGTTAGCCTTTTCCTTGCAGAGGTGCTGAGGATTAAATGAGATAATACGTGGAAACATTAGGCATGTAGCACACTTAGCAGATGGTGGTTGGCTCCGCCTGCTTTTCCACCAGTCTGTGGCCTACAGTTTAAATGCTGGGAAAAAGGACGTGAGATTTGATGCTAGGGAAGGAGGCATGGGGTTCTAGGCAAGGGAGACAGTCTCTTAGGCCTGGAGCAAGGGGCCAGGGGCCTGGGCAGGCCACAGAGCCCCACAGTGTCCTCGCTACCCTATTAATGGGCCAGGAATCTGGAAGCCAGCCACCACATGTCCTCATGCCCAGGGTCTTCCGGCAGGTGGAGCTGAAGAGCCAAGAGGCTCCGAGTCTGCAGCAGCAGCCAGACCAGTAGCTGGAGCCCCAGTCCCACAAGGAGCTTGGATGTGCGGACAAGCAGGGTGGTGAGTAGAGCCCTCAGGCGGGGTGGGCAGGCAGGAGCAGGGGAGGCTCGCACTGTGCCCAGATTCCCACCCCCCTCCCTCTCTCTGAAGATCTTAGTGGGCTGAGCCTCACTGATAGCATGGAGGCTGCACCGGGAGAGGACAGGGAGGGTTCTCCCCCATGACAACCCCACTGCACAGCAGATCCAGCAGCTGCTTCCTCTAATGCAGGACTCCCCAGGAGCACCCAGGCTTGAGTGGAGAAGCTGTTGGTACAGGAGAGGCGGCAGGAGGAGCAGGAGAGGCTGCATGCCATTCTTTTCGGGCTGCGGAGAACAGGGAGCTAAACATCACCATCATCTAAGAGCGGGTCAAGGAATTGAAAAAAAAAAAACAAAACATTTAAGGGGTTAATATCCTACACAATTCATTTACTTCATTTGAATGTTAGAGCCACTTATGTTTATTTGTGTTTCTAATTTATAGTTTAAATTTATTTGTGTTTCTAATTTATAGTTTAAATTTATTTGTGTTTCTAATTTATAGTTTAAATTTATTTGTGTTTCTAATTTATAGTTTAAATTTATTTGTGTTTCTAATTTATAATTTAAATTTATTTGTAAAAAGTTAAATGAGAGTGGGTGTTTCTCTCATGTTCACTCTGGCATCTTTTAGCATTTTTTTAATTTGATAATTATAGGACGTTAGCATGCATATCGAGTTTGCCCTTATGTGGTGGGAGTTCAAACACACAAAGACCCACTGTATGCACACAACTGTTCTTGCTGGTTTGGGATAGGCTGCCATGCTTTTTTAATGTTAGTACAGCCTGTATATTCATTACGGAATTCAGATAAAATTTCCTTATGTTCTGCTGTTATGTTTGATCGAATCCTAATCACAGTGAGCTCTTCATTAGCTCAATATGCAGTTTGCCCTCAAGTGCGCGGTCTATTACTTTGTAATATGCCACTGTGAGTACTGACATTTACAGTTGTTTAAAGGTGGAGCACTGGAAACAGCCTTTCCCCCTTTTTCTGTGTATTGGGGATGGGAGTAATAACATTTTGGGGAGGTTTTTAAATCTCCCAGAAGAGGAAAGTGGCCTGCTTTGGCAGGTGTGTGCAGGATAGAATATGTTTCATTTGTTTCAGTGCCAAGAATGAGTGCTGTACTACAGTAGTTCCCTTAGGATTTGTATGTGCTCTGGGCTCATGAAGATACTGCCTCATGAGCTGTGGCAGTTGTACTCTTTTTTGATGACCTGAAAAGGGATTATTTCTGAGGAATGAAAGGCTCCCATCATGACTGTGGATGTGGAAAACCTTTTCTAGCTGAGAGCATTTATATCTACAATACATTTTAAAGTCAGAGTTCATGTTCCCTGTTTTAATCACATGACTACATGTCCCAGTACACAAAAGGGCACTGGTTGGCGTTCTCCTTAATGTATTTAGTAAAGATCAGAAGAAATCCTTTAAGAGTTTAAATGCCCCTGGAACAGGCATATACAGGCTCTAGTCAAGAATGAATTCGAGTGAAGGAAAGCTGTGTGACACCTGGCATTCCTCTGTGTTCATGGAGCTTATTTGAGGCTAGAAGATGGATTTTACCATCTAGACCTCTCTGGCTAATAGCTAGTCTTCAACCATCTGACATAGGAATTTACTTCTTTTCCTTGAATGGAGAACACTTTAAAAATAATAACAAACATTATTATAAACTAATATATGTGAGAGTACTTAGTTGAAACAAAAAGGAGTTTTAGTAGACAGTATTATACTACATTTGAAAATCAAGGAGCAGTTTATGCAACGTAAAATGTTTACAAACTGCAGCGCAATCTACTGTTTGTGACTGTCAAAGTGTCATGAGGAAAGTGTCTATACAATCACAGAGTTATATTTCCTCACAAAGTTCTTTACGAAGAGTGAAATATGTTTTTATACCTCTCAGTTTCAGTTAGAGGCATATTTTGTGTAATATTTATGGCTTAAAATGGACTAAAGGTCCTGTTCTTGCCTTTTCTGAACTTGCCGCTTTTGCATTCTTTGAGTTCAGTTTAAAGACACTTACTTTAACTCCATTTTAAACCCTCGGGCTAGAAATCGTACCACTGTTAATTAGCCACGTTATTTGGTCTAACAGTTTTTGTTTATCATTCTGAAACTGAGCTTATCTAATACATTGATAAATTATTTCAAAGGTATTTTTATAGTTCAAATCGCTTCACTTTTACCCTGACACGTATAAATGAATAGGAATGACCTTCAGATAGCGTTTAGCAACTGTAACCAATCTGACAATAATGTGTTCATCAGGTACCTGTGGATTAAATCACATACTGGCATATTTAAGATGAATGTCAGTCTGAAAAATAAATATACTATATTAATTCAAATACGACTCTGTGTAGGTATTTTGTCATATGTTTAAGAAAAAGCTAAAGAGAATGGAAATCCTATGACAATAACTCAAGTCTTTCTTCAAAGTGCATGCAGTCTTTTGCAGTACCTCATTCAGCCAAGTATTTGTTCTCTACCTCATTCAGTATAAGGCAGCCTTTAATTTGCTTAGAAGGCAACATTAGAAGGTTAGAGTTCAGCAGGAACATAGAATTTTAAAATGTGACTTCAACTGAATAAATTTGAATTTCTGTAGGGAGTAAAGAATCAAAACACCTATTTAAAGACTGCAAAATATGATAATTATTTTTAAAGTAATTGATTAAACCTGGTAGGTTTTCCCAAAATGAAAAACAATCAGTTCTAAAACCAAAGCTGATTTTTAGAAAATGTGAAAATGTAAATCAACCCTATCCATAATAGATTCTCTAAAACTTTATCTTACAGTCACTTTCAAATAACTATTCAAAAATGTAACTGCTATATTAACGTCTTAAAATAATTTAAAACATTTTAAAATATGAATACTGTAGTTTAAAACAAAGAATCTAGGGGAAGGAAAAGTAGACAAAGAAATGCCAATTCCAGTCCAAAGCTGTATTTGCCAAGTTTTCTTAGAATGACTTTTACCGATTTATGAATTCTTATACACAGAATGCATAATGGAAATACTGATTTTTGTCTAAAGTGGCATTATTGACTGCTGCTGTGATGCTACTGTAATGTAATACATTATTAAATTGTTTCAAGGTGCTGTTTTGCCTAAAAATTTTGTGTGTCTTGAAAACTATAGTATTGGGTATTGAGACTCTGCAAATTCTCGGCATGCTTGGCATGAGGTAATCGGTTTTTATTCTTACAAAATTGTAACTATGTAAGTGTGTTTATTAAAAGAACACAAACTAAAAAAGTTAACAGGAATTAAAGTTGTGGGATGAAAAAGTTACAGGATAAAAAAATACTGTGGAAAAGTGGCAAAAAAAAGTTGTGGAAAAAAAGTAAAAAAAAAGTTTTATGAAAAGTTATTTTAAAAAGTTATGAAAAATTAGTTACAGGATTTAAAAAAAGTCATGGGATAAAAATAAAAATAAATAAAAGCAGGCCCCTGTCAGCATAAGCCTGGAGAAGTGGGTCTGGAGTCTTCACCCCCACCATGTCCCTACAACCCCTCCCCAGTCAGCCCTTTACCATTAGGGTAGCAAGACAAGACCCTTGTCTAATGGAGGGAGACAAACAGACCCTTTACCACCTTGACCAAGGCTGAGTCCTTACATTTCTGGATGATGATGTTTGTTATTTAAGAGCCAGAGGTTGGTGGAGTTGGTTTGTTTGGAGGAGGTCTGACGGCCTTCTTACTCTCACCAAAGCAACTTTTCCCTCAGGGGGGCTCCCATCTTCTTACTCAGAGAGGCAGCTGAGGCGGGACAGTGGAGTTAACTGTAGACCAGGCCAGGGCACAGGCTGCTGGGGGTGGCCCCCCTTCCCCCGTGTACATACTGTAGCTGTGTAACATTCTGTATCGTACCTAGCGGAGGTTGCAGCTGGCATATGAGGAAGAGGTTCTTATAATTATTCGCGGCTGGGAAACTTATTTATTGCTAGCATAGGAGCGAGGAAGCAGGCGGGGATGGGGTCATGGCTGCCTGGTGATGGGACTCCTGTTTTTTGTTTTTTGTTTTTTGCTTTTGATTTTGGAATAAATGGATTTAGCCATACTGCTCGGCCTGGTATGTTCCCATTTCCCTCACTGGGTCCTGCAGTTTGTCCCACTGAATGAGGAGCCCCAGAGTGTCTCAGCATGTCCAGCTGGGCTGTTGGGGACCTTCCAGGCCTGTTACCTGTATGCTGCCTGGTGACACCTGGTGGATTTCATGGGGACTGCCATGGCGCCTACGGAGTACACTCTGGCCCTGACAGCCAACTGGTTGAGAAGCCTGATCTAGCTGTGGCAGGGAAGACAGATACCAGTGCCCAAGGGCACTGACTTCCATCCACCCCAGGTGTCTTCCGTTCTGTCCCCCTGCCTCCCTCTCCTGTCTGCACCGGGTGGCCTGTCTGTCCCTCCAGAGTGCCGGCTGCCCCGCAGGTTCCCTCCAGGCTGAGTTCAGGGCCCTGTCCCCTAGTGGCCAGAGCTGGCTTCACAGGGTAAGAGCCAGCTAAGCTCCAGGGACTTTCCAGGAAAAGTGTCCCTTGAAAAGGGTGTGACCTTTTCACTGCTCCCAACAGCACCCTAAAAATGGCTTGGCCTTTTCCATCCCCTGAGCTCCATAGAGAACACAGCCAGCAGAGGACACATTCTCTGTCATCCAGAAATGGGTTTCTCAGCCAAGGGACAGCAGGACTGGTAGAGACTGTCAGGCCACACAGCTGCCTGCACAGCACCGCCATGCTTGGCCAGAAGGGCGGGAGGGATGGCGGGGGCTGGCTGTCCACAGGCCGCGCATGTCCCGGAAGCTCACTGGAGGTGGTGCACTTTGGAGGGGCGATGTCAGGAGACAGCTTCCTCTTGCTGGGCTACAAGATTCCACAAGCACAGCACGGGACTGATTCCCAGTGCTAGAGGTGAGGCAGTTGGCCACGTATATATATGTATATATGTGTGTGTGTGTGTGTGTGTGTGTGTGTGTGTGAGAGAGAGAATTTATAGCTATTTATAGAACAGGGCAGGGGCATACCACAGAGGGGGCACAAGTTTTCAGCAACGGTCACACCTGGACGTGTCAGCTCACCACTACAACAGACTAAGTCACAGAAGAAGGGGGCTGGCTTTGGGGCTGGGGGAGCCACTGTCAAGTCACAGGACACCCGCCCAGGCAGGCTTGGAAAGGGAGGTCTCTGAGAAGAGGAGGGATGTGTTTAGAGGTCGAAGTGGGGCCTGGGGCTCTCAGGACGGGATGGACTTGCCTGACCCGATCAGCTGGCAGTTGGAGAGAAAGCAGAGAGAAAACGGGTTAGAGAAAAGCCAGAGCTGGTGAGGCAAGTGCAGAGTATGGGTGCGCTGCAGCAGCTGTGGAGGGCCGGGGAGGGGAGGGCGTAGGTGTGGGCGTGGCAAGGTTCCTGGAAAAGAGGGGCTGGAAGGGAAAGGGGAGGGAGATGGAGGGAGAAGCTGGAGCTTCATAGGTAGTGCCTGGGGACTGCGGCGGCCCTCCCTACCCCACACACGCTGGCCTGTCTCATGGAACCCAGGCAATCCACCCATCCACCCACAGTTCAGACCAATGCCAGCTCCCTCGGGCTTCCCTCTTCTGTGGTCCCCATGTCTTCCAACGCACTGGCCCAGGGCCACCTCTTGCTTGGAGAGCCCCATCCAACAGCCACCAGACCTGATAGAGAAGGAACACTGATTGAACCAAAATGGTGGAGCTATAAGGGATGGCTGGCTGGAGTGAATGCCAGAGGCCCCTCTGGGCCATCAGAAAGCCCAGGGTCCTCTGAGGAACCCTGGGGAAGGCAGGGAGGGCAGGTAGCCGGATGCCATTGGCCATAGACTTCTAAGTCTAAGAGGGGAGCCTTAACTGGTTGGCGGGGGGCTGCAGGTTACATAGGTGAGGCTGGGCCCTTCCTGCTGGGAAAAGCAGAAGAGGGAGACTCCGTGGCAGGAAAGGGAAGTGAGCTCTCTAGGCGGCGCTCAGCTGGGCCAGCAGCACTATTGGCTGAATAGCACAGGCAACCCCTAGAAGCAACAGGCCAAGGTGCGTGAGCCTGCTGGCCAGCAGTAGTGCTTCAGCAGGGGCCAGGGACCCTGCCTTCAGTCGCACGCTAGCAGCTATCATGGTACCTGGGAGGGAGGGAAGGGGGCTGTGTGTCCTTCCATGGCCTATGAAGTGTGTTGTGGGATGACCGCGTGTATAGGACTCTCAGGCTTTTATCCTAGATCACCACTGGATTGCTGACAGATAGAGGACGTGGGACCGTGACTATCACCCCTAATCTGCCGTGGATTTGGCTCTTGGCACTCCCAGGCTGGGAGCTGGATACCTGCCCTGGCAGCATGACTCAGACTGCGTGACAGGTACGGCGTGCCCAGGATGATGTTCCCAGGCCTCTGGCCGCCTGAGTCCAGCCCCCCACACAACCCCCTCCAAGCTCCCAGCCCCTACACCATAAACCATGAGCTCTGTGCCCTCTCTGATGGTTCCACAACTGCCACCTTGGGCATGGAGCCTGTTGTAAGAGCCCCCAGGCTCAGCCATGGAGACCTTGAGCAGTGGCACTGAGTCCCATGGCTCACAGGGAGCAAAGTGAGACAGCCAGCAGCACAAGGACAGAAAGAGGAAAGAGCAAGTCTGCAGCTCCAGAAGGGAGGGGCAGGGAGCCTGGCTCTGAGGCTCCAGGTATGCCCCCTGTGTGGAGCTGGGGCAGCGGGGCAGGCAGACCATTCATGCAGCAGGCAGTGAGGCATGTACCTACCATGGCTGACGCTCCTCAGGGGCCACTGATAGTGATTCTGAAAGACAGCTTCAAATCACATGGCAGGTCACATGCATGGGTGGGGCAGGCCTGGGGGTGGGGGACACACACACGCACATGCCGGAGTGTGCACACACATGCTGTGAGGCCCCACGGCCCACATGCACACACTCACACACATGCCCACAAACAACACGCATACGTCGCCCTCCCCGCCACCTCCCAATGCCCAGCACCCTCACCGGCCGGCACGTGCCGCATGGATCTGGGGCGTGCAGCCACTCGGCACGCTGAAGCACATGCGTGGGCAGAGTCACAACACAGATGCTCACCTGCACACAGAGGCATTTGCACCAGCTCCCTGCACACTCGTGCCTGGCGTGCTCAGAGGACCACCCATGCTGCTCAGGGAGACAGGGCTTGCTCACTAATGTCCGGCTGTCATTTCTCCACCTAAGAGCCTTCCATGGCTCCCTACTGCCTACAGCGTTGAATCCCAACAAGTCATACTCTTTGGACTTTGAAGGTTCTCCACCCTGTGCCCCACCCTCCCCACAGAGCTCTTCCTCATTCTGTCTCTGTTCCCTGCTTTGGCCAGTGGCTATCCGCGATGTGACCCACACTACACCTCTGCCCACACTGCAGCTCTTTACCCAGTTGCCCTCCAGTTCCTCACCACGTATGCCTATCTCAGTCATGCCCCAGACTGCATTGAAGCCAGGCTGCCTTGAAGAAGCTCTCCCAGACTGCCCTTTTCCCCAAGGCAGGGTCATGATTTACCAAAGGTTTCGTGTGTGTTAGCAAGACTGGAGTCGGAGCAGGCATCAAACTTTACATCCCATATGTCACACCTCACCATAGATCTGGGTGCCAAATAGCCTGAAGAGTCTGAACTCACGTTGGAAGTTAGCAAAGTGCTCCTACAGCCGCATCTGCAGTTAACATAGTATCCCTATGGCCACTGTCTCCCTTGATCCCCACAGCCATCCTAGGAGAAAGGCAGAACGTCATTTGCTAGAAGGGATGCTGAGGCTCTGGGAGGGAAAGGGACTTGCCTAAAGCCCCAGGGTGAAGCAGCATCTCTGGACTCTCATAGACAGCCTAGAGCTGCCAGCATTCCCTTAGGATCTGTGCCCTCGGGCCTGGCTTAATTTTTTCCTCTGCAAAGAGCCATCTGTAGGGCCAGAGGCTGGCAAAGCCTGACTCATTACTGGACGCCAGTTCCTTTGCCTGACTTTCAGTGATTTCTACCTTACCCTGGGGTTTTATGTTGCTTGTCTCAACACTGTCACTTCTCATTCCTCCACAAGTTGAATTGCTCACTCCAGCCACTTGAAGCATGCTCTTCTTAACACAGTTAGCTCTAGGCACATGGTTGGTGCTAAAAAGGAAAAAAAAGAGAAGAGCATTATGTCAATTTCATTGATTAACAAAAGCGATGGCTCCACTGCAAAGCAAAGTTGATACTCCTGGGCCTCTGAGTTCAAGAGCCTTTTAGACAAATGGCTCTGAGCTAAAACATGATCATGCATGCATATGCATCTGTCTTGGTCTGATGAGATAATCTGGATACTTGCTTGTTATCCTTGAGCATTTTCCTGCCTCATTAATGTATGTGTAGCCACCACAATAATAATCATAGCTAATAATGGCTACAGCTGAGGGCTTTCCTGAACCAGGCAGTGGTTTTAAAAACTTTAACCCCTAAAGCTGAGGACTTTCCTAAGCTAGATAGTGGCTTTGAAAACTTTAAAGTTTTCACATAGACTGTCATTGAATAATTTCTGTTTTTCAGATCAAGAAACTGAGACTTACTATCATATTTGGGATTAAGCTAAAAAAAAAAAAAAAGAAAAGAAACAGAGGCTGAACGCTGTCAAGTATTTCACAGCCAGCAGGAAATCGGAACTTGAACCCAGGCAGTCTAGCCCTGGGATCCTTTCCCCTTACCCATTATCCAGTGTTGGCTACACAAAACTAATGAGTACATATTTTCAACTATAGTTTAAGTGGGTGACATATTTTTCACTATATTTTATGTAGGTGACTTTCAGTTTGGGGGTATTCTACTTACACAATCTATTGAGCTGGATATTAACTGAGAGCAAACAGAAACTAATGAACTCTGAAAAACATAAAACATGAGCAACATGACGTCACTGCAAGAGACAAAACAGCACATAGCCTTCTTGTGACTGTATTTTGCTGACAGTCCATGAGCTGATAGCCTGAACTCAGCAGTGCTGTTCCCTTGGGAGACACACACACACACACACACACACACACACACACACACACACGAGTTGGTGGTTTTCTGCCCCCCACCCCCACCCCAACACACACACGAGTTGGTGGTTGTGCTGCCCGGAGCCTCCAGTCCGCGAGTGTGAAGAACGGACCAGATGGGTCCAGCAGTGCTGGGTCAAGGCCAGGAGGGGCAGCCGGAAGCGCGCGCATGCTCTGGACTCCTGCAGCCGCCGAAACGGGTGCGCAGGGGGCGCGCGGGTTGAGGGGTGAGGGGCGACGGGTGTGAGGGGCGAGAGGGACGGGAGCGGGGTAGGGGCAGCCCTTTCCCAGGCGGTAGCGGGGACTGTGGTGCTGTTGCCCTTTTAAGCTGCGGCTTGACAGGAGCAGCGCCTCCTGTCGGTGGAGTCTGTTACAAGGGGAGCAGCCGCCCAGGCCGCCACACAGCTCCCCGCAGAGGCCTCGGTGCCCCTTGCCATTTTCCAGCCCTACTCCGACTAGAGTTGAGGCATCAGGGAGAGGCGGAGCTGGGAGAGCGCCGCCGAGAGGTCCCGCGGGTGGTTGCGGCCGTGACAGCGGCTCCCGACGGGCTCACCTTCCGCGCCCCTCCCGCCAGAGGTGAGAGTAAAATGTCCGTGTGAGGGTTCAAGGCCAAGCTGAAGTTGTTGGCCTCTATCTTCCACAAGAACCAGGAGCCGCCGCCGCAGCTCACGCTCCACTGCAACATCACGGTGAGGCGCCCAGTGGCGGCCTCACGGGGCAGGGCGAGGGCGGAGAGGAGGCGCCCAGAGTCCCGGGACAAAGGCGAGCCTGCCCGGGAGAGGCCCCGGTTCCCCAGGCGGGGCGAGCGCGCCCCTTTCTCCCGCTACTGGCCCGCCCCGCTGTGTGAGGCTTGCGTGGGAGGAGGGGGAGGGCGCGTCTCTCTGGCTCCTTGCCGCGGGGCTGGCTTGGGGGCTGCCGGCACCTCTCGCCCCAGTCGCTGCGCCCTGAGGTGGGAGCCCGCGTCGCCCGCAGACCTTTTGGGGCCCATGATCGCCCTCAGTCAGCTAGCCTGCTCCCCTGGACCGCGACGGGGCGTGGCAGGGCGGCTCCCGCTGTTGTTTGAGCCCAGTGAGGGAAGGGGAAAGGCCTTTAAGATTTTCGGTTTTTTGGCCGGGCGCAGTGCTCATTCCTGTAATCCCAGCACTATGGGAGACTGAGGCAGCTGGATCTCCTGAGGTCAGGAGTTCTAGACCAGCCTGGCCAACATGGTAAAACCCTGTCTCTACTAAAAATACAAAAATTAGCCGGGCATGGTGGCAGGCGCTTCTTGAGATGGAGTCTCACTCTGTCGCCCAGGCTGGAGTGCAGTGGAGCGATCTCGGCATACTGCAGCCTCCATCTCTTGACAGTCTGTGGGTTCAAGCGATTCTCCTGCCTCAGCCTCCCGAGTAGCTGGGATTACGGGAGCCCGCCACCACGCCTGGCTAACTTTTGTGTTGTTTAGTAGAGACGGGGTTTCATCATGTTGGCCAGGCTGGTCTCGAACTCCTGACCTCAAATGACCCATCTCTGCCTCCCAGAGTTCTGGGATTACAGGCCTGAGCCACCGCGCCCAGATCCAAGGCCCTTAAGCTTAAATGCCTCGTTCTTCAGTCAGGTTTTCCTTGTTCCCGCATGTTCAGCCAATCGTGTTTAAGGAGAAACTAACAATGAAAACGGACTCGTTGATGGAGGAAAAGTTGGAATGCAGCCTCTGGTGCTGTTTGAGCAATCCCTCTATCCCGGGTCGCTGCTGTGTTCTGGAAAGGCGCATTGTACCCTGGATGCAGCAGGTAAGAGTCCTGTCCAGGTGCTCTGCCCGCTTTTTCTTTCAGGCTTCTGTATCAGCTGTTTTTCCCCTGTAGAATGTGCCCCTGACAGCCACCCCCTAACCCTACCCAATTTGTCTTTACGTGTCTGACCATCAAGGCTCTTCTGGGTCATATTTAATTCATGCTGATATTTCCCCTTCCTCCCCTCTTTAGTCCTCACTATTTTTGCTTTGGTTATGTTATGCTGTATTCTGTAAGGCTTTAAAAAAAATTTTTATGGTGGCAGGGGAGAATGTTTTATAATTATGCTTTGTGCTTTTTATCTTCCACTCAATAAATGCTTGGTAAATATTTGTTTTATTGAATGTATGACCCTATTCTAGCTATATTGTGCTTGAACAAAAACCTTAACTGCCTTGTAAGTTAACTGCTAAGAATTTGTCAGAAGTGCAGACATAACATCAAGAACTTGTCATGGATAGTACAAAAAGGTCTCTAAGGGCTTGATGGAGGCCTGTAAATTGACTTCCTATGAAAGAGAGTGTAAGAAGTGAAAATGTAAAGCATGACTGGAGAGCCAGAGTGATGAAGCCAGGGTCCCTTTCTCCAGATCCTTTGTAACAGTGTTATGTGATCTCTTCTAGAAGATCGTTCTGAAAGATAATGCTAACTCGGAACCTAGGAAACCATCCAGTGGGTTTCTGCAGCTTAGGTGTTTCAAATCCTCATCAGCACGTTTGTTTTCTCTGCCTCAGTTTGCTTACAATGATGTTCTCAGTAGCTACAATTGCTGTCTTTGAATATGTAAGCATTTTTTTTTAGATGACAGGGATATATGTGCATTTTTATTTTACCAAGTGTTAGAATTTTTACTCTGCTTTTGTGGGCTCTGGGTTAGCTACTTGGTTGTTGTAAAATGATTAGCAGGGAAAGCTGTGTGTGTGTGTGTGTGTGTGTGTGTGTGTGTGTGTGTGTGTGTGTGTGTGTGTGTGTGGTTTCTTTTGTTGTCAGAGGACTTAGAATTTTATTTTATATGGTAATTCTGTCAATTTACTTTATTCTCCACCCCACATTTATTGAACAGCAAATTATGAAAGTAATGTGTCCCATAAGCAGCCTTCAGAAGAATTACAGCTGCTGTATATCTGAAATTCTTTTTTTTATTTTTTATTTTGAGATGGAGTCTCACTCTATCACCCAAGCTGGAGTACAGTGGTGCAATCTTGGCTCACTGGAACCTCTGCTGCCCAGGTTCAAGCAATTCTCCTGCCTCAGCCTCCTGAGTAGCTGGGATTACAGGCACCTGCCACCGCACCTGGCTAATTTTTGTAGCTTTAGTAGAGACAGGTTTCACCATGTTGGCCAGGCTGGTCTTGAATTCCTGACCTCGTGATCAGCCTGCCTCAGCCTCCCAAAGTGCTGGGATTACAGGTGTGAGCTACCGCACCTGGCTGAACTTTCAAGAAGAAGTTTGTGCATCAGTTTTCAAAAAATTATGATATCAAAAGATAGCTGTGCCCTACATTTGGAAAGATACAAAAACTGAACATACTGGCAGGCAGTTTTGCTTGCTGGTGCTTGAGATAGAGGCACACATTGGTCTCAGTGGAATTATGGAGAAAAATAGATAAAGTTATTTCTAAATAAGACCAAAAAATCCTTTTCTTAAGCAGTGACAGGTAAAGAGGTTGTCTTGACTAACCTTGAATTGTGTTGCCCTTGATTGAGACAGTTTTATGGTGGGATGGTAGTGGTGATAAACTTGCTGGAAATTTGTCTGCTTATAGTAACCTTTGTGGTAGCTGTCACAGACAACTTCATCTTCACAGGCCTTGAAATTAGTATAAAACTAACAGAATGGAGGAGAAACAAAGGACCTGAATAATTAGATGCTTAGATAATTGTTCCGTGTTTTCATAACTGGTGAAAAAGAGCAGTATTAGAAGCACTTACACATTCTATAGAAGGAACACTGCCTGAATTTATATTGTGATTTTTGAGCACCATTAACTGTATAAAAACAGGCATATTGTAGGTAATATTTTAAAGACAAACAGAAAATTTATCTTTTCAAGATGGATCTAAAACTTATCAAAATTACAAAATTTAAAACGTGATTGAAAAATATTAATGCATAGGTTTAAATATTGGTCATTTTAAATGTCTTTCAAAATAGATTGTCTCTTAAATATTCAACTGAACAAACTTTGAACATGTAGAGTTTGTGCCGAAGGTTAAATTTCCTGGGGTGATGGATATTTTGTAATATGGAAAACAAAACCTTCTTATTTTAAGAAATTTAGAAAACTTTTAGGCAAAACTAGAAAATATTACCTATGTAATTCTACCACTCAGAAGGTGCCACTGTCAGAAATTTGTATCTTTCCAGTCATCTGCTCACCTCTTTTCTCCTGTGCTTATATATGTTTCCTCTCCCTTAAAAATCAGATATTTGTTTGTAATCTGCTTTTTCACTCAACAGTATTGTAGATCCATGTTATAACTTACTCCTCTACATTGCCTTCAGTTATTGTGTGCTTTCTGTTGGATGACTTTACCATGTAGTCAGTCATGTTTTCTGGTACTGAATACATACGGGTATGTGTGTGTGTGCGTGCGTGTGTGTGTGCGTATTTTTTTGTAACTTAACTAATGCTTTAGACATCAGTAGGTAGACGTAAATCCTTGAAACCTTCCACGTGGTGACTTTCAGTTCTCATTGCTGAATTTGTTTCCAGAGATGGAAGAAATTATATTGTATGGGAACTTTTTTTTTCTTTTTTTTTGAGATGAAGTCTTGTTCTTGTCGCCCAGGCTGGAGTGCAATGGCGTGATCTCACTGCAACCTCCACCTCCTGGGTTCAAGCAATTCTCCTGCCTCAGCCTCCCGAGTAGCTGAGATTACAGGCGCATGCCACCATGCCTGGCTAATTTTTGTATTTTTAGTAGAGACGGAGTTTCACCATGTTGGCCAGGCTGGTCTTGAACTCCTGACCTCAGGTGATTTGCCCACTTCAGCCTCCCAAAGTGTTGGAAATACAGGTGTGAGCCACTGTGCCCAGCCTTTTTTTCATCTCAGTACCAGCTTTTATTTATCAGATTGGTAAAAATGTTAGAAAGTGTGCAATGAAATGGGCATTCTTACAGTCATGGCAAAAAATATAATTATCTTTGACTTTCTAGAAAGTAGTTTGGCTTTCTAGAAACTTGTTTGAATTCTCCCTGTTTAGGCAGGATGAATTCTCACTACCCCAAGGTGGCCAACCTTGTCCCTGTGATTCCATCTCTCCCAGAAAGAGAGGTCTAGTCTCAGGGAAAACCCAGATTTGTTTGGCTTAGCCCACCTGACAGCTAATCACTGGAAATGGGGTGGGCTGGTAGAATCCTTTGGTCAGGCTTTGTGTTGAGAGAGAGGTGGAAAGATGGGAGGGAGGTAGCAAAACTTGCCTCAGTGGAACTATGTAAGTTAATATAGAATGGCAAAAGGATGTTTCTTCCAAGGAAGAAATTCTAGGGAAGCAAGAAAGTGGAGGGGAAGGCAGCAGTTCTCCAAGTTTTGGGGTCAGGATTCCTTTACACTCTTAAAAATACATTGAGGGCCCAAGGAGCTTTGGTTTATGTAGGGTATATCTATTGGTATTTATCACTAGAAATTAAATCAGAAATATTTAAAATATTCTTTAAAAGCTCACCACATATTGTTATAAATGCTTTTATGAAAAGAAAATTTCTAAACCCAAAGTAGTACAATCTTACATCTTTTGCAAATTTTTTTGATGTTTGATATGTCATTTGCATGATGTTTGACATGTCATTAGCAAATTGATATGTCAGTTTGCTTCTGCATTCAATTTATTGTGTGATATTTTCTTGAAAAAATGTGAACAAAGACCAATCTCATACAGATAACATTTTAGATCATTGTGGATATATATATATTTTTTGAGATGAGGTCTTGCCCTGTTGCCCAGGCTGGAAGGTAGTGGTGTGATCACAGCTCACTGCAGCCTCAGTCTCCGGGGACTCAGGTGATCCTCCCACCTCAGCCTCCGGAGTAGCTGGGACTACAGGTGTGTACCACCACATTTGGCTAACTTTTTGTATTTTTTGTAGAGACAGGGTTTTGCCATGTTGCCTAGGCTTCTTTTTTGATACTCCATCAAATCTTGGTTTTTCTTGAACTTTGGATCTTCCACCCTTGCATGATATTACAACATCGTGCATTGGTCACTTATAAAATAGTGGTTCACTAGGATCTTCTACATGTTGATACATTTGATTGTACAGTATCAAAATACATTCATCAATACCACCATCAATCTCATCAGAATACTTTTGGAAAGTGATGGTGGACATAAGTTTTCTAAAATTCTAATTTTTTGTTCAAAAGCTTGAATTTTATTAGTAATTTTGTTATTGAATTTTATTATAGCCTGTCTGTTGTTTTCCTTGAAATGACAGAATCTCATGTTTTGAGAAAATATCTGCCAGAAATGCGAGTTAAAATAACATTTTTTGTCAGTCAGCCTTTCAAGTAAAAATGGTATTCCATTAAAGTGGTTAATTCACTTCATGACTTAGTCACTCAAGGGTTTTTTTCTCAGGCAGCCTGTAGGAATGCTCATGTATACTTCCCATTTCATCACTTGAAATATTAAAAAGATATATTCAAGGATTTAGATATAGTAAAATATTCACTGCTTCATCATAGACATTTTTTTTTTTTTTAATTTTTGAGATATGGCCTTGTTCTGTCGCTGAGGCTGGAGTGCAGTAGCGTAATCACAGCTCACTGCAGCCTCAACTTTCTGGGTTCAGTCAATCCTCCTGCCTCAGCCTTCCAAGACGCTGGGACTACAGGCATGCAGCCACTGTGTTCAGCTAATTTTTGTATTTTTTGTAGAGATGAGGTTTCACCAGGTTGCCCATGCAGGTCTTGAACTCCCGGGCTCAAGGGATCCCCCTGCCTGGGCCTTCCAAAGTGCTGGAATTACAGACATGAGCCAAAATTCCCAACCTTATCATAGACATTCTTAAATGAAACTAACCTTTTGTTGCCCTTCCTTTTTATTTTTATTTTTGAAGACGGAGTTTTGCTCTGTTGCCCAGTCTGGAGTTACATAGGTGCAATTTCAGCTCAAGGCAACCTCTGCCTCCCAGGTTCAAGTGATTCTCCTGCCTCAGCCTCCTAAGTATTTGGGAATACAGGCATGCACCACCACACCGAGCTAATTTTTGTATTTTTAGTAGAGATGGGGTTTCACCATGTTGGCCAAGCTGGTCTCAAACTCCTGACCTTAGGTGATCCGTCGACCTCAGCCTCCCGAAGCACTGGGATTACAGGCGTAGGCCACCATGCCCCACCCACCCTTCCTTTTTAAACCTTTCCTGTTCATAGTGAAGAATACCATGACTACTAGTAGTAGTTTGGTGTTACTGCCTTTGTTTGTGCTAAAGTACCAGCATTTTTACCCACCATTGTATTTGCACACTTACAGCAAATGTCACCATGTTAATATTCCTGTCAAAATAGTTTGGACTTGGGGGTCTGAGGGCCGCACTTTGGGAACCATTGAAATAGGTACTTAGACGTACTAGATATCATATCTTTTCATCTACAAGGTTTTTAAAAACTTGATTTCAGTTAATTTTTTTTTTGTAATTTTTAAAATATGGTTTTGAGGGGTTTCAGTCCAGAGCAACAACACATATTTTATTTTGCTTACGCTGAAGTTTACTAGAAAATACTAACCTAACAGAATGAAGTCCTAAATCTAATTGCAATTTCCTTAGCCAAAATAAAAAAAACCCAAAATTAAAAGCGTAAAAATAGTCCATATGGTGTATTCTCAGTGTATGCTGAAGAATTTATAGAAGAAAATGCAATACTCAGTAAGTGGTGTTCTTTAAGAATAGGATTGGCTGGGCGCAGTGGCTCACGCCTGTAATTCCAACACTTTGGGAGGCCGAGGTGGGCGGATCATCTGAGATCAGGGGTTCGAGACCAGCCTGACCAACATGGAGAAACCCCGTCTCTACTAAAAATACAAAATTAGTGGGGCATGATGGCACGTGCCTGTAATCCCAGCTACTCAGGAAGGCTGAGGCAGGAGAATTGCTTGAACCCGGGAGGTGGAGGTTGTGATGAGCTGAGATCGTGCCACTGCATTCCAGCCTGGGCAACAGGAGCGAAACTCGGTCTCAAAAAAAAAAACAAAAAAAGAAAAAAAAGAATAGGAGTAATTCTGGAGTTTCTTTTAGCCTGTAGGAGTAATTCTGAAGAGTTTCTTTTAGCCTGTAAAGAGATTTGGAACACAGTAAGAGAGGAATGAGAAGAATGAGAATAGTAAAATAAACCATTATTGAAGAGATATACTGTTAATGATGTCCTCCATCAATACAACTTGTTTTTCTTTTTTTTTTTTTTTTTGTTTTTTGAGATGGAGTCTTGCTCTATCGCCAGCCTGGAGTGCAGTGGACATCTCAGCCCACTGAAACCTCTGCCTCCCGGGTTCAAGTGATTCCCCTGCCTCAGCCTCCTGAGTAGCTGGGACTACAGGCACCCGCCAGCGCGCCCAGCTAATTTTTTTGTATTTTTTTAGTAGAGATGGGGTTTCTCCGTGTTAGCCAGGACGGTCTCGATCTCCTGACCTCGTGATCCGCCCACCTCGGCCTCCCAAAGTGCTGAGATTAGAGGCGCGAGCCACCGTGCCCGGCCCATCTTGTTTTTCTTAAAAAGGAACCTTCAGTAAATATTTGGTTTCTGTGGCTTCAGCTTTAATTCAGATTACAGTTTTCAAAGCAGTGTTGCCTAAAGTTGTTTGTGCAAAATTGTTTTCTGTGACTTCAACCTAGTTATTCTGAAGCTAATATATAATAATAATGGTTTTTCCCCAATTTATAATAGAGAACAGTACAAAGTAACAGCAGAAATGTCTGTTAGTGGGTGAAAGCACATAATGCATAGTTCATTAGCTTTTTTAAAAAATCACATGTAATTGTGTTACAAAAATATATGTATAGTAATGGCATTTACTTGGTATTACCTGGTTTGTGTGATAGAATAAAATATTAGAATTTTATGGTGTTTGAGTTAGTTATCTATTGCTCTGTAACAAACTGAGCAGCTTAAAATAACAAACATTATCTCAGTTTCTGTGGGTCAGGATTCTGTCCAGTTTACCTTGGGTTCACTGGCTTGGCCTCTCACCAGGCAGTGAAGGTGTTGGTGGTGGCTGTGATCATCCCAAGGCAGGATAGGGAGAGAATCTGTCTCCAAGATCAGGTTGGCAGGATTCATCTCAGAGGCTGCTGGACTGGGCCTCCGTTTCTAGATGGCCATTGGTCAGAGGCCTTTTACAATACCTTGTCACGTGGGCCTCTCCATAGGGCACCTCATCACATGGCAACTGGCTTCCATCAGAGGGAGCAATGGAAAGAGCAGGAGAAGGGTGACCAAGGCAGGCATCGTAGTCTCCTTGTAGCCTCACCTCAGAAGCGATGTTACTTTTGCTGTATTCTCTTTGTTAGAAGTGAGTCACTAGGTCCAGGGGTGGAATTTTACAAGGGTGTGAATGGCAGGAGGTGAGGGTGATCAGGGCCATTTAAAGGCTGCCTACCAGTGTTGAAGAAAGTTGTTGACTTCTATGAGCTGTAGCAGCAGACAGTGCTATGCAAGGAGAATGGCTGTCTCAGAAGTCCAGCTCCTCACATGGGTTTAAACGTGTTGCCTTTTCCCCCTGATACATTTTGTTTAAATCCATGGTCATCTTGCCATTTAGTGGTGTGGTTTAATTGCATATTTGGGTTAGTCTGTATGTAAACATTTAACATAGGTGTCTCTGGGTTAAACAGGAATCCTATTCATCTTCTTCACCGATATGGTCTGTGGACTCTGATGAGCCAAATCTGACATCAGTTCTGGAACGTCTAGAAGATACTAAGGAGAACAGTTCGGTGAGGAAAGAAACCAAGCTATTTTCTCTTTTCCTCATGAACATTATATTTAGAAATTAAATGGTAAGTGATAATATTATATAAAAACATGATTAACAACTGTAATCTTAGAGGAATTAAAGTCTGGGTATTTTAAGTCCTCCAAATCTTATTTACTACCTGGTTTCTCTTTATTATTTCCCACATGTATAATCTTAGTTTAGATTAGCAATTCGGGATCTCTTTTTCCCTGAATTCTAACCATTAAGCCAAGCAAGCATTTTGGGTGGAGACCACTAGCCAAGGTGGGAAGTAGAAAGAAGACCAAGGTGGAAGTGAAGGGAGAGATGGGGAGAATGACACCAAAACTAGTGGGAGGGGATTGCCTTTTCTTTCAAGGGTCTGTAAGTCTGCAGTAAAAGTCAAAGGTATTCAAATAGGAAGTTTGTTTTTGTCTTTAGTATATAAAGAAGCATAACTTTCCATTTTGCAAAAACTTTAGAAACCTTTTTTTCTTGATTATAAAACTTATAAGCAACCATTATTGAGAAGATTAGTAAAATATAAAAAAATAAAAATCTCACATAATTTCTCTACCTAATATAACTACTGTTGACATGATAGCTAGTTTCTATCAGTATGTATTGCTTCTTTGTTATCAAAGTACTTATACCCTTACAGATATGTTTAAATAGTTGAGGTCATATTCTATAAATATCTATAAATAGCTGGGTGCTGTGGCTCACACCTGTAATCCCAGCACTTTGGGAGGCCGAGGCAGGCAGATCACAAGGTCAGGAGTTTGAGACCAGCCTGGCCAATATGGTGAAACCTCATCTCTACTAAAAATACAAAAATTAGCCCGGTGTGGTGGCAGGTGACTGTAGTCCCAGCTACTCGGCAGGCTGAGGCAGGAGAATTGCTTGAACCCAGGAGGCAGAGGTTTCAGTGAGTCGAGATCGCACCACTGAGGTCCAGCCTGGGTGGCAGAGCAAGACTCCATCTAAATAAATAAATTATGTATACACACACCCTCATATATATATACACACATATGTGTGTGTATACACACACACACACACACACACACACACACACACACACCTACACATGACCGATTGCCTCGCCTCTAGCGTTGGGAATCAGTCACCGTGCTGTCCTTGTGGAGTCTTGTGGCCCAACAAGAGGAAGCTCTTCCCTGACATTGCCCCTCCAAAGTGCGCCACTTCCAGTGCGCCCCACTGTCATGCCCGGCCTGTGGACAGCCAGACCCTGCCATCCCTCCCACCCCCGACCAAGCATGGGGGTGCTCTGTAGGTAGCTGTGTGGCCTGACAGTCTCTACCAGTCCTGCTGTCCCTCAGCTGAGAATCAAACCCATTTCTGGATGACAGGGAATGTGTCTTCTGCTGGCTGTGTTCTCTGTGGAGCTCAGGGGAGGGAAAAGGCCAAGCTATTTCTAGGGTGCTGTCAGGACCGATGAAAAGGTCACACCCTTTCCAAGAGACACTTTTCCTGGAAAGCCCCTGGAGCTTAGCTGGCTTTTATCCTGTGATAAGCCAGAGGCTCTGGGGGGTGAGGGAGCAGAAACCCTCCTCACCCCAGCCAACGGGGACCTGTATACCTCTGCCAGTCTCTCACTTGGCCTTGCTGCTGTCCTCTGAGACTGCCTGTTCCTCCCTCTCTGTGACTCTACACCACCATCACCTCCTCCAGGAAGTCCTCTGGATTGACTCCTAGCTTATTACATCTTTATTGTGCAGACCCTCTCCATTCAAAGCCCCTCTTCAACTGCCCCCCCCCCCCACTACCTCCAAGACAGAGATTCTGGATTCTTGCAACTGCAGCCCCTCAGAGAGTGTAAGAGGGGCAGAAAAAGGAGATCAGGAGGTGAGGGAAGCAGCGCTGTCAGAGTTTCCAAAGCCCCGGCCAGCAAGGCCTCAGAGGCCTCTGTTGGAGTGGGGGCCTCCCTGGCTATGCGCTCCAGCTGCACAAGGCAGCCTCTGTGAGCCTCTCCCACTCAGCCCTACAGGAAGCAGCAGGGCCCAGCCTCAATGGACCCATTCAGACCCCAGCGCTCCGGAAAGTACCTCTGCTTTCTGCCACCATTCCACTCTGGCCAAACAGGCTCTACTCTCTTCTGATGGGAGGAGGCCGCAGGCAGGTGGTTCAGTGGTTAGGGCCAACCATCTACTTCAGTTCCTGTCTGGCCCAGATCTCTGACGTTGACCATGCCCTAGTGGGTGTATGTATACCTTTAGTGCAAGGGTGGTGTGACAGTTAATACTGAGTGTCAACTTGATTGGGGTGAAGGCTGCAAAGTATTGACCTACTGGAAGTGTCTGTGAGGGCATTGTAAAAGGAGATAAACATTTGAGTCAGTGGGCTGGGGAAGGCAGACCCACCTTTAATACTGGTGGGTACCATCTTTCTAATCAGCTGCTAGCGAATATAAAGCAGGCAGAAAAACATGAAAAGGTAAGATTGGCCTAGCTTCCCAGCCTACATCTTTCTCCCATGCTGGACACTTCCTGCCCTCTAACATCGGACTCCAGGTTCTTCAGTTTTGAGACTCGGATTGGCTCTCCTTGCTCCTCAAACTTGCAGACAGCCTATTGTGGGACCTTGTGATTGTGTAAGTTAATACTTCATAAACTCCCCTTTATATATCTATCTATATCTATATCTATATCTATTATCTATATCTATATCTATTATCTATATCTATATCTGTCTATATCTCCTATTAGTTCTGTCCCTCTAGGGAACCCTGATTAACACAGGTGGGTAGGCACAGGGAGATGTGCCCCCTTCCCCGTGGGTGCTGGGTAGGTAAATGTTTCGCAAAGGGCTTTCTTGGGGAGAGGGAACCCTGATTTTCAGTATTTGCCTCTTTTCCTGGTATAAATATTCCCACTGTGGGCAGTATCACCTGCCTCTCAAAATTCCTGAAAATTCAACAGTTGGCTCCTGGCAGCTGCTGTGAGCCGTTCCAGCCGGTGACTGTGGTGGCTCCATCCTGCAGGGCCATGTGCCCCCACCCCTTGTGCTATGGCCACCCTCACTTTAGTGTGCTGTGTTTTGCTCTTAGGAATCAATGTCTTTGCAGATAAGGCACCCCAGTAGCTGGCCACCACCTGCAGTTCCCTGGTCTGTCTCTTGCTGGCACCAAGCTGTGCTGTGCCTGCTGAGACTGCTGGGCCACCCCAGCGCATATGGTCTGCGGGGCTTACTTGATTCCCTTAGCTTCCCAGCCAAGGTGCTGGTGTTGCCAGCAGTGCTGGCAGGAGGAGGGGATAACTAGAGGGGATTTAACTCAACCCGAGGGGCTCTTACGGGATCTTTCCTGGATATCCCTCCAGGTGGGGCTGGCTGCCCTGAGGGTGTACAAACTTCCAACTCCTCCAATGGCTGAAGCTACTTCCTCGAGCAGATGGCAGCTGGCTCAGGCTGGCTAGGGACCAGTGCATGTGAGGTCGGTGCTGGATCACCCCATCAAGGCCATCAGCCTGTGCTTGTTCTTGGGGTTTGAGGGAAACCCAACAGGGATGAATCACAGTTTTTAACCTGTGTTTGTCTGCCCCCCAGCCCTGGACATCTGCAGGCAAAGTTAAAGTTATATTTGGCTCTTATCACCACAAAAGGCATAGACCAGAAATTATGGCATCGGGTTGGAAGTCAGGGAGGCTAATTTGGGGAAACTGCCTGGAGGAAGCAGCAACTCAAAAGAGGAGGAGTCACACTGTGGGACAGAACAGGCCCTGCATAAGAACCACTAACCCCAGGCAAGCCCAGACATGGCCTTCTGCCTGGGGAGGCCCTCTTTGGCCTGCTCAGCAGACCCTCAGCCCCTTCTAGGCCCTGTCTTCAGCCTCAGACTGAGTGGTGGCCTGGGGAGGTTGGGAGCTGAGCTGTTCTCATCCCTGGTTCCTTGGCCACGGTGGAAACAATGGGGCCGGATCTGACTGCTCAGCGGGGACTGTGAATAGCTCTCTAGCAGGAAGCAACAGCAGGGGTAGTGGAGGAAGTGTGGGCCCACTTTGGTTTGACACTGCATATGGTCCCCATCTGGCCTGAGAGCCTTTACTCCTTGGCAAACTCAGGCCAATAAGCTCCTGCCCCCACCCTCAATGGCAGCTGGAAGAATGGCCTGAGGGAGAAGCAGGGATAGGTGGGCTGCAGTGACATCACCCCCAGATCCCAGCCGTGGCCCCAGCCAACCCATGGAGGTGGGGCATGGCACAGCAGGTGCTGCACAGGAGCCCAAGCACAAGGGCACTTAGGAGAAGGAATCTGAGCAGGGATCGATCTGGCCTGGGGGTGATTCTCCAGAAACTCCATTCCTCGGGGCTGTGACCACCAAGCCAGGTGATCAGGCCAGTGATGTTTCCCTTTGGGCCAGGTCGGGGAGCCAGACCTGGGAGGGAGACTCCTCTGGGGCCCAGGGGAGGTGAGTCAGAGCTGGCAGAGGCCTCTGGCTCCAGGAACCTCCAAGGAGGAGACCTGAGTTGCTGGGAATTTCTGGGTCTGACCTCCTGCCAAGTCAAGGTCTGGGCTGGACACAAGGTGAGGCTGTGCCTTCTGGTGCCAGGACCAAGGAAATGCTGGGATCTGGGCAGTGCTCAGAGGCAGCACCGTATGGCAGAACCATGAGGGTGCACCAGCACGGACCCCTTTCTGCAACCCACCCATCCCTCCCTGCAGCACCTCGCCTCCTCCAGGCAAGAATCTGAGCCTTGACCACAGCTCCCTCTCTCACACAGCTTCCTTCTTTGGTTAGAACCACCTGGAGGTGACTGTGGCCATGGCTCTGACTGACATAGACCTGCAGCTGCAGTTCTCCATGTCCCAACCCGAAGCCCTCCTTCTCCTGGCAGCAGGCCCAGCTGACCACCTCCTGCTGCAGCTCTACTCTGGACACCTGCAGGTGAGTGACGTCCCCCTGGGATTGGGGCGAGATTCCTTGTCTAGCTTTGAGTGAACCCCAGCTGGCTGTTGACCTTGTGTAAGTCACTTTTCTTGGGGTCTCAAGTTCTCCACTGTGGGATGGGCAGCAGCAGCTCAGAAATGGTAAATCCTTCATGAACTGGCTCTGCCCACCGGCTCCTTCCAACCATGTTTCCCACCACAAGCCCTCACTGGCCCTTTGTGCTCTGACTACACTGAACTGCTTTCAGTTCCTGGCCATCTTATGGTCACTTGCAGCCAGGCCTTTGGTCATCACACTCCTCCTGCCAGGTGTGTGACCCACCCATTCCCTGTACCTGCCGAACTCTAGTCTCTCCTTGAAGTTTCAGTGTGGGCATCCCCTCCTCCTCGGCGAGACCCCCTCCTGGGCCCCCATGACCCCTGCGCATCCTGGTGGCACTGCACCAATTTATCTGCAGCACCACTGTCTGTCCATGAGAGTAACAGCACCAGTACTGCCTCAGCTTCATTTTTCCATTTCATCCTTCAAGACACCACAAGCTTTATTATCAAGGAGTCTTGTGGCTCCTACTTGAGTCTTACCCCATACCAGGAAGAGTTTAAGAACCCAGGGTCTTAGTCCAAATTTGGGGCAGGCTGGGTGCAGTGGCTTATGCCTATAATCCCACCACTTTGGGAGACCAAGGTGGAAAGATCACTTGAGCCTAGGAGTTCAAGACTGGCCTGAGCCACACAATGAGACCCCATCTCTATTTTAGAAGGAAAAAAAAAAACAAATTAACAAATTTGGGGCAGCCATCTCTTTCCACACCCCAGTGGGAAGAGGACTAGGGCTTGGTCAGTCTGCTGCTGTCATTGCTGCTCATTGCCACAAGGTGTCACTGTTGAACACCTATGTGGTGCAGTCTGGTGCTGATGGCTGCTGAGCTGTGCAGGTAGTGATGCCACATCCCTACAGAGATGCACCATACCAGGACTCCAAGATCATGGTTCTTAGTGTTCTGGTTCTGCAGTTCCCATACTCTGCCATCACCTATTCTAGCATCTGGGAGCACCATACCAGAGCCATTTCTTGTGTCAATGTCATGGTGACAGAACTATGTCCTTCATCTCTCCTTGAGATATTCCTCCACCACAGGTCAGGCAGCTTTTTTTTTTTTTTTTTTTTCCAGAACACAGAGCATCTGCCTGGGCTCCCTGTCCCTGAACAGTTAGCCTGGCTTCCTTCAGTGACCTCGAGAAACTTTGCCAAACTTAGGGGGACTGATCAACGGATTCTCAGTTACCCATTATTCCAGGGGTGAAATCTAGATTCCAAGACAATATTTCTGGTGCTTCTCACTCAAGGAAAGAGGAGGAGAATTTAAAAATACAGGTTGGGTTTCTAGAAGAGCATCTTGCTATATGTCAGTTCCTTGTGGGCAAGGACCACATCTGATTCACACCAGGGTCCCCAGAGCCCATCCAGGCCTGGCCCAGAGTTTCCTTTGGTGAGTGTTTAGAGGATGAATAAAGAGATGGCAGGAAGGCAAGAGGAGTGGCACCAGAGGCCCTTGTCCTAGGTTTTCTGCTCTGGGGCCCCCTGTGGGGAACCCACTGTGCTTTTATAAGGGAAATGATGGATTCAAAGTGCTGCCCCCCATCTCCCATTCCCCGTCTCTCCTCAGGTCAGGCTTGTCCTGGGCCAGGAGGAGCTGAGGCTGCAGACCCCAGCAGAAATTCTACTGAGTGACTCCGTCCCCCACACCACAGTTCTGACTGTCTCAGAGGACTGGCCCACATTGTCAGTCAATGGGTTTCTGAATGCCTCCTCTGTAGTCCTGGGAGCCCCCCTAGAAGTCCCCTATGGGCTCTTTGTTGGGAGCACTGGGAGACTTGGCCTGCCCTACCTGAGGGGAACCAGCCATCCCCTGAGGGGTTGCCTCCATGCAGCCGCTCTCAATGGCCGCAGACTCCTCCAGCCTCTGACCCCCAATAAGCATGAGGGCTGTGCTGAAGAGTTTTCTGCCAATGACGATGTGGCCCTGGGCTTCTCTGGGTCCCACTCTCTGGCTGCCTTGCCTGCCTGGGGCACTCAGGATGAAGGAACCCTGGAGTTTACACTCACCACACAGAGCTGGCAGGCACCCTTGGCCTTCCAGGCAGCAGGCTGGCATGGGGACTTCATCCATGTGGACATATTTGAGGGCCACCTGTGGTCCATGGTTGAGAAGGGCCAGGGTACTGTATTGCTCCTCAACAGTGTGCCTGTGACTGACGCACAGCCCCACAAGGTCAGCATCCACATCAACATTCACCAGCTAGAAATCTCCATGGACCAGTACCCCACATGTACTTTGAACCGAGGAGTCCTCAGCTACCTGGAGCCACGTGACAGTCTCCTTCTTGGGGAGCTGGTGCAGAGGCCTCTCGTCACCTCCAGGAACACCGCTCAGGCCTGACACCAGGGGCTGCCAATGCCTCCCTGCTGGGCTGGCTGCATGGAAGACCTCAGTGTCAATGGCTAGAGGCAGGGGCTGTGGGAAGCCTTGCTGACGCACAACATGGTGGCTGGCTGCAGACTGGAGGAGGTGGAGGAGTATGAGGACAATGCCTATGGCCATTATGAAGCTTTCTCCACCCTGGCTCCCGAGGCTTGGCTGTCCGTGGAGCTAGCTGAGCCATGCGTGCCTGAGCCAGGGCTACCTCCTGTCTTTGCCAATTTCATCCAGCTGCTATCAGTGCAGTGGTGGTGACCGAGGGTGGCACAGCCTGGCTTGAGTGGTGGCATGTGCAGCCCATGCTGGCACTGATGGAGGCTGAACTGCGTAAATCCCAGGTGCTGTTCAGCGTGACCTGAGGGGCACACTACAGCGAGCTCGAGCTGGATGTCCTGGGTGCCCAGGCATGAAAAATGTTCACCCTTCTGGACGTGGTGAACTGCAAGGCCCGCTTCATCCACGATGGCCCTGAGGACACCTCTGACCAGCTGGTGCTGGAGGTGTCAGTGATGGCTTGGGTGCCTATGCCCTCATGCCTGCGGAGGGGCCAAACAGACCTCCTGCCCATCCAGGTCAACCCTGTCAATGACCCACCCCACATCATCTTCCCACATGGCAGCCTTATGGTGATCCTGGAACACACACACAAGCCTCTGGGGCCTGAGGTTCTCCAGGCCTATGACCTGGACTCTACCTGTGAGGGCCTCACCTTCCAGCTCCTTGGCACCCCCTCTGGCCTCCCCGTGGAGCACCGAGACCAGCCTGGGGAGCCGGTGACTGAGTTCTCCTGCTGGGAGTTGGAGGCCGGCAGCCTAGTCTATGTCCACTGCGGTGGCCCTACACAGGACTTGACATTCCGGGTCAGCAATGGACTGCAGGCCAGCCCCCCGGCCATGCTGAAGGTGGTGGCTGTCCAGCTGGCCATACAAATCCACCGCAGCACAGGGCTGCATCTGGCCCAGGGCTCTGCCATGCCCATCTTGCCTACCAACCTGTTGGTGGAGACCAGCGCCGTGGGGCAGGATGTGACCGTGCTGTTCCATGTCACCGGAGGCCTGCCGTTCAGGGAGCTGCAGAAGCAGGGGGCTGGTGGGGTGGAGGATGCTGAGTGGTGGGTCACACAGGCGTTCCACCAGCAGGATGTGGAGCAGGGCCACGTGAGATACCTGAGCACTGACCCACAGCACTACACCGAGGACACCGTGGAGAACCTGGATCTGCAGGTGCAGGTGAGCTGGGAAATCCTGAGCAATCTGTCCTTCCTAGTGACCATCCAGAGAGCCACTGTGTGGATGCTGCAGCTGGAGCCACTGCACACTCAGAACACCCAGCAGGAGGCCCTCACCACAGCCCACCTGGAGGCCACCCTGGAGGAGGCAGGCCCAAGCCCCCCAACCTTCCACTGTGAGGTGGTTCAGGCTCCCAGGAAAGGCAACCTTCAACTACAGGGCACGATGATGTCAGACGGTCAGGGCTTCACCCAGGATGACGTACAGGCTGCAGAGGTGACCTATGGGGCCATGGCACGTGCCTCAGTGGCAGTGGAGGACACCTTCTGTTTCCATGTCACAGCTCCACCATATTTCTCCCCACTCTGTACCTTCTCCATCCATATTGGCGGTGACCCAGACATGCCTGTCCTCATGGTGCCCGAGGGTGGTGAGTGTGTCCTCTCTGCTGACCAGCTCTTCATCAAGAGTCTCAACAGTGCCAGGTACCTCTATGAGGTCATGGAGCAGCCCCGCCATGGGAGGTTGACTTGGCGTGGGACACAGGACAAGATCACTATGGTGACATCCTTCACCAATGGAGACCTGATGCATGGCCAGCTGGTCTAGCAGCATGATGACTCCGAGATCACAGAAGATGATATCCCATTTCCTGCTGCCACCAGGACCAGAGCAGTGGTGACGTGGCCTGGGAGGAGGTATGGGGTGTCTTCTGAGTGGCCATCCAGCCTGTGAATGACCACGCCCCTATGCAGACCATCAGCTGCGTCTTCCATGTGGCCTGGGGTAGGTGGCGGCTGCTGACTACAGACAACATGGCCTTCAGCAATGCTGATTCGGGCTTTGCTGAGGCCCAGCTGGTGCTGACCCACCAGGACCTCCTCTCTGGCAGTATCATGGCCACGGATGAGCCCATGCAGCCCATCTGCCGCTTCATCCAGGAGGGGCCTCAGGAAGAGGCGAGTCCTGTTCACACACTCAGGCTGACCACGGCTGGATCCCGCTGCAGGTGTCCGATGGGCAGCACCAGGCCATCACGGTGCTGGAGGTGCAGGCCTTGGAGCCTTACCTCTGTGTGGCCAATGGCTCCGGCCTCATGGTTCCTCAAGGAGGCCAGGGTACCATCAACATGGCCGAGCTCCACCTGGGCACCAACCTCAACATCTGCAGTAGGGATGAGGCCCACTACCACGTCACAGACAGCCCTCACTGGGGACAGTTGCTCCAAGCCACTCAGCCAGCCACAGCCTTCTCTCAGCAGGACCTGCTGGTTGGGGCTGTTCCCTATGGCCACAATGGCAGCCTCAGCTCCTGCAACACCCTGGCCTTCTCAATGGATGTGGGACCAGTGCACACAGATGCCACCCTACAAGTGACCATTGCCCTAGAGGGCCCAGTAGCCCCACTGAAGCTGGCCCAGCACAAGAAGATCTACATCTTCCAGGGAGAGGCAGCTGAGATCAGAAGGGACCAGCTGGAGGTGAGGAGCTGGAGGTGGTGAGCGGGGTGTGGACCAGGTAGAGGGCCTTCCTCCCAGCCTCCATGCCGGGAACACATGTGACTTGGGCTGTACCTGTGGTGGTCCCAGCTTGCGTGTGTGCACGTGCCTCAGATATGCTCCCATATATGTTGTGTTCCCAAGAGTTTCTGGGGAGCTTGCTGTACACCCATCCTCCTGGGAGTGGTGTGTGCCTCTAGAGCTGGTGCCCACTCATGTCCATGGCATGGCTGAGCATGCAGATTCCTGGACGCCACCCAGCCCTACAGAATCTCTGAAGTGGAGCCCGAGAATCTGCATTGCAGTCAGTTCCCTGGGAGGGCATCACGGGTCCTGAACTTTTGGGATTGCTGGCCGTGGAGACAGGCCGCTGCCTCTCAGACCCCTGTGTAGCCTGCTCTCTTCTCAGAGCCCAGACCAGGACCAGGAGGGTCTGTCAAGGGCTTCTGCTTACCCAGGAACCTCACAGAGCAGCCACGGGCCTTCCAGAGATCTGACATGCCCTGTGACCTCAGGCCAGTCCTTGCCCGCTCTCAGCCTTACTCTTCCACACTGCTTATTTCGGAGACCCTTCTGGTCTGCATCTGGAGCTTGGGGCCCATGGTGAGCCAGCAGATCTGGCATCAGGAAGGCCTCATGGGAGGAGGCAGTGTTTGGGCCGGGCTCTGAAGAGTACAGGCCATTAGGAGCAGAGAATGGGGAGTGGTATTCCATGCAAAAGGAACATTCCGGCCGAAGGCACAAAACAGGAATGTGAGTTTGGAGGCAGTTTAGCCTCTTGTGGATGGCCCATCAGGTGAGGGAGCCCATGTGGCCTTTGGGGTGTGAGCTCTGTAGGGCCTGTGCTGGGGGTGCCTGTGCCTCTAGGAGGGGTGGGGTGGGGTGGGGCAGGGCACCCTCTGATGGTCCTGGGTGGTAATAGCAGGGGTTGGGGAGGATGCTGCCAGCAAACCAGCCACAGGCCTGAACAGATCCTGAGCAGGGGGCCTGTGTGCGTGTGCACACACGCATGTGTACCTGTACCTGTGTGACTGCATCGGCATCTGATGAACTCATATGTCTGTGTCACTGAGTCTGGGGACATGTGATTATGCACTTCCCTGAGGGAGTGCATCTCAAGCTGTGTGACCGACACCCCGTAACCATGTGTGGGGTGGGTATTAACATGTGACCAGCTGGGGCAACCCAGTGAAACCCCATCTCTACACAAAACATTTAAAAATTAGCCAGGCATGGTGGCACATGACTGTGGTCCCAGCTACTTGGGAGGCTGAGCCCTTGAGCCTAGGACGTTGAGGCTGCAGGGAGCTGTGATCACACCACAGCACTCCAGCCTGGGTGACAGAGTGAGACCCTGTCTCAAAAAAACAAAAAATATGACCAGCTGCATGTCTGGCTGCTGTGTGTGTGAACCCACATGTGTGTGTGTCACTAAATGAGCAGTGGTATCTGGGGAAATAAGTGGAGCAAGATCAAGGCTGTTCTGGCTGCTTAGGGCCACAGTGGGCCCCTCTGAGACCCCTCTGCGCATTCCCTTGTGAGTCCTCATGACCTCTGTTAACCAGGTAGCCCAGGAGGCAGTGCCGCCAGCAGACATCGTTTTCTCAGTGAAGAGCCCACCGAGTGCCGGCTACCTGGTGATGGTGCTGCGTGGCATCTTGGCAGATGAGCCACCCAGCCTGGACCCCGTGCAGAGCTTCTCCCAAGAGGCAGTGGACACAGGCAGGATCCTCTACCTGCACTCCCGCCCTGAGGCCCGGAGCCATGCCTTCTCGCTGGATGTGGCCTCGGCCTGGGTGCTCCCCTTGAGGACGTCACGTGGAGCTGGAGGTGCTGCCTGCTGTCATCCCCACTGGGGGCACAAAACTTCAGCAGTAGAGGGGGCACAGTCGCAGCTGCACCCTGGCCCCTCCACTGCTCCGCGTTGCCAGGTCCTACTTCCCCACTCTCCCGGGCCTTGGCCTGCAGGTGCTGGAGCCACCCCGGCATGGGGCCCTGCAGAAGGAGGATGGGCCTCAAGCCAGGACCCTCAGCACCTTCTGCTGGAGAGAGGTACGGCTGTGAGAGAGGCCCAGGGGCTGCAGCCCAGCTCTGGGGGCAGAGTGGAGGGAGCCCCGGGGACTCCCAGTCCAGGGGTTATACAGAGAGGAGACAGGGAGTCACATTTCAGAAAGACCTATGCTTTAGATGCTGTATCTCGGGCTGGGCGCTGTGGCTCATGCCTGTAATTCCAGGACTTTGGGAGGCCGAGGTGGGCAGATCAGGAGGTCAGGAGATCAAGACCATCCTGGCTAACACGGTGAAACCCTGTTTCTACTAAAAATACAAAAAATTAGCCGGGTGTGGTGGCCCGCACCTGTAGTCCCAGCTACTCAGGAGGCTGAGGCAGGAGAATCGCTTGAATCTGGGAGGCAGAGGTTGCAGTGAGCCGAGATCACACCACTGCACTCCAGCCTGGGCAACAGAGCGAGAGACTCTGTCTCAAAATAAAATAAAATATCCCCTTTCTTCCTCACAACTCCTCTGGGAACCAGAACTTATGGTCCCCATTTTCCACCAATGGAAGCTGAGGCCCTAAAAGGGTCAGTCTCTTCCTGCACCCAAAGGCAGAACATGAAGGGTGCTGCTGGGGTCTGACTGCCAGCCCTGGGCCTGCCCCTAGGTGGAAGAGCATCTGATCCAGTACCTGCACGATGGGAGCAAGACACTGACGGTTTTGTCCTGATGGCTAATGCCTCTGAGATGGACCGCCAGAGCCATCCTGTGGCCTTCACTGTCACCATCCTGCCTGTCAATGGCCAACCCCCGACCTCATACAAACTCAGGCCTGCAGGTGAGCATATTCCTGGGACCACCCCCAATGTCTGCTTTGAGAAAGAGGCCAATGTCCCCTACTTCCCGGCACAGATCTCCCCCCCTCTGAGCCTCAGTTTCCTCCTCTGCAAAATGAGGACACTACTGTGTGCCTCACGCAGTTGTTGGAAGGAGAGATGTGAGATTGTGCTGAAATAGAACACAGGCGGGAGGTTTTGTTATTGGACATTTGCAAGTACGGCAGGCAGACTTCTGAGCAGCCATGGGTGGCTCTGCTGTTCCTTCTCCTGTGGCTTAGGACCAGAACACCTGAAAGAATCACTTACAAGCCCTTAAGGGCTGGCGTCAGGGTGGGACCGTTAAGCTTCCCACCTTCACCCCAGCAAGTGAAGGCCTCAGCTTGGCTTCCCAAACTCCTGCCCCTTGTCCACAGCAGAGCAGGGCCCCCATTTGGCAAAGGTGGAAGTTGAGGCCCAGACATGGGATGGAACTTCTCCATGATTGCAAAAGTAGTTCTGGTGGAACAGAAAGGGCATGGCTTTACTAAGCCCAAGTGGCAGGGCTTTGAACCCCAGCTTCTGGGGCGCGTCCTCCCCAGTCAGCAGAAGCCACTGAAGGTTCCGCAAGAGGGCTGACTTGGGCTGTCTCTGACATGGGGCACCGGGGGGCTTTGGTGGTCTAGGATGTGCCTGTAGGGGGTGGCCTCATGGTGCGGAGGCCACAGAAGAGTGGGACACAGCACCCTGGAACCACAGGCTGGGATGGCTCTGTGGCAGTGCGGCCACCAGGTGGTGCCATCTACCCGTGTTTGTTCCGGGAGCCCAGTGATGGGGCCCTGCCTCCCACAGTATGGCCCCTCTTGCCAAGGCTCGGCCTGAGGGCTCCCTGCGGCCAGGGGAGGAAGCCCAGGAATGCCAGAGGGCTGTTTTCTGGGCATGTGAGTCCCACTGCAGCACTGCCCACAAGTAATTGACCCAGCAAGACTGGTACCAGGACCTCAGGAACGGGTGCCTGTTCTGCTTGCTAGTGGGAGGCCTGAAAAGGGGCCCCCTTTGCCCAACACGAGGAGGGCCCGTAACTGCTCTGGAAGCACCTGGGCCCATCCCAGCACTGCTTCTGTGCTGCAGGACAGTGCCAACCATCAGGCTTCAGCTCTCTGCGCCTCCCACCCCTCCCTTAGCTGGAAGGAGTGCTCGTTTCTAAAATCACTGTTCCCACCTGTGCCCAGCCCCTGCCAGGCACACATGGAGGGTCTGAAAGGAGACTGCTGCCCCACCAGTGAGACAGATTAAGGAGCACTGTTGGTCAGCGCTGGGGGTTTCTGGGGGTGAGAACTTGGTGAGGGTAAGAGCTAGGGCCTTCCTGGGTTGGGTACACAAGCTGGTCTTGAGGGACACACAGGACTAGGACAGATGAAGAGCAGGGATGCTGGGCCTGGAGGGTGGCCTTCCCTGGGGTGACAGGGAAGGTGAATGCAGGGAGGCCATTTGTGCAGGGGAGCCACAGCAGCGCCAGCCTTGATGCCACCTGAGGGCCTGAGCCTCAGTGGGGTTGGAGCCCTGGTGGCAGCCCAGGGCCGGGGAGGAAGGGGTGGGTAAGTGTGGCAGGGCAGAACCTTCACAGGCCTGTGTCCCCAGACGTGGGAGGGGGCCACCGTGCCCATCCCTACAGAGGCTCTGAGGAGCATGGATGGTTACTCTGGGCCCAAGGACCTGGTGTACACCATTAAGCAGCCCAGCAATGGGTGGGTAGTGCGGTGGGCGGTGCCGGGCACTGAGGTGCGCAGCTTCATGCAGACCCAGCTGGATGGTGGGCTCGTGCTGTTCTCACACAGAGGTGGGTGCTGAGGGCCGAGCCCCAGGTTTCTGCTGCCCACGGGGGCACCCTGAGGTGGGGAGCCAGTTCAGGCCAGCTGGACCCAACACCCTTGTCCCCAGGGGCCCTGGACAGAGGCATCCACTTTGGCCTCTCTGACGGTGAACATACTTCCTCCAGACACTTAGCTTCTGAGTGACGGCCCAGAAGCAAGTGCTTCACTCGCTGGAGGGCAGCCAGACACTGACTGCCCAGGTGGGTGTGCTGATTGTGGGCATTCCTGGGTGCAGGGGGCTGGGGCAGAGCTGAGGGTGGCATGCCAGGGTCACACTGCCTCTCTGCAGCCACAGGCCTCGGCCTGGATCACAAAGGCTGATGGCCCCTTTTGCCTCTGGCAGAGTCCGTCCAGCCACTCAGCAGCCAGAGCCTCAGAGCCAGCAGGCACCGACCCCCAGCTCCTGCTCTACCATGTGGTGCGGGGCCTCCAGCTAGGCCGGCTCTTCCACGCCCAGCATGACAGCACAGGGGAGGACCTGGTGAACTTCACTCAGGCAGAGGTAAGGGCCCCACTCTGCAGCCACCACTCAGATGCGCCCAGCCTCAGGTGGCCACTGTGCCATGGACATCATGTGGACATGGGCACCAGCTCCAGCATCACCGGCAGCAGACACTCCCAGGCCTGCCATGGTCCAGGACCTGGTGTCCTGCCCTCTAGGCGTCATCAGGCTGGCAGGGCAAGTTCATGTTCCCAGAAGGAGGGAGAAGAATGCAGGAAGTCGGGGATACAGGGCCCTAGAGCAGGGCTGGGGTCTTGGGGTGTGGCTTCCCAAAGGAAGCTAGAGCTGGACCCAAGGGTCTGGAGAGGGAGAACCATGTAGGGGCACTAGTGGCACCCCAGTAGCTGGTGAGGGGCAGTGCTTGGTGGGGGATGGAGTCGGAGGTGAAGCAGCTGCTGGGGCCTGTGGGCAGAGGTGTGAGCCTCGGGCTCAGATCAGGTGCCAGCCAGAGGAAGAGTGGATCCTAGGAGCAGATGAGCTGATGAAAGGCAGCTGAGTCGGCCAAAAGGGGGAAGCCACTGTTCATCTGTCCTGGTGGCTTCAGAGAAGAACTAGAGCTCTCAGCCATGGGTAGTGGCAGACTCTCTGTGGTAATTGTGCCATGGGGGCCAGCCCAGTCATGGTTTAAATGAACACCTCTCCCCAAAGGCAGAATGGGAGTTGTTCCATAGCAGGGCAGGGCAGGGCAGACTCTTGTGGGCCGTCCTGGGCAGGCAGCACACCTGATGCCCCCATCAGGAGGCTGCGTGAGCATCTGGACCCAGCACATGATCACAGTGAGTTCTGGGCAGGGAGCGGTCTTGTGGGGCGCAGAGCTGACTCTGTCACTCAGGAGCCACGGCCCGCAGCACTGCCCCAAGTACCTCCAGAGGGGACCCCTGTCAGCCCTTGAAAATGGCAGAGCCCACCCCAGCCCCCTTTTCAAGCTCCCTTGCTTCGGCAAGGACCTCCTGAGCCTGGCGCTCTCCCTCCTGAGAGGTGCAGATGGTACTCAGCAAGTGCAAAGCCGAGGTTTCTTGGGCCTCTCACATCAGCACCTCCCAGACCTCGGTTCTGTATTTCCCTGGAGCTCCACTCCTGCTATGGTGCCCTTCCCACAATGAGATATTCATCAGGTTGGTGTCTACAGCTGCTGCGTACCCTCACTTGCTGGGAGCCTTTGTCAAGAATGCCCAGGAATGAGGAGGGCACAGGACGCAGACCATCAGCAACCCTCTTGCACTCTATAGTCCCATGTTACTCAGAGCTTCCCCATGCTCCAGCAAGATGAAGGACTAGATTGAATGGGCACCAAGCTGACAGTGCCACCCAGGAAAGCCGGGAAGAGGCTACATGGGCTACCTGGCCCACTCAGGGAGGAGGGCAGGACTGGGTATTGTCTTGACAGCAACCCTGTCCCACAACACTGAACTGGGTAGGGAAGGGGTCAGGTGTCCTCATTTTTCAGATAAGAAAACTGAAGCTCCCAGAGGGCAGGTAAATGTATTCAGAGCACATGGCAAGTAAGAGGCAAAACTTCTGCCAGCAAGTCCAGGATTTTTTTCACCAGAGGACATTGCTTGGTCCCCAGACCTCAGGACCCTGTGTTTTGCCTCACTCCCACCCACAGAGCTCCTGTATCCAGGTATCAACTCCAACTCCCACTCCTGGAGGCCGAGGCAGGAGGATCACTTGAGCCCAGGAGTTCGAGACCAGCCTGGGCCACATAGTGAGACCTTGTCTCCACACAAAAATTTTAAAAATAGCTGGGCTTGGTGGTGGCATGTGCCTGTAGTCCTAGCTACTCGAGAGGCTGACGTTGGAGGATCACTTTGAGCCCAGGAGGTGGAGGCTGCAGTGAGCAGTCATCACTGTACTCCAGCCTGGTGACAGAGCGAGACCCTATCACCGCCCCCCGCCCCACCAAAAAAAAACTGAGTAGACAGGTGTCCTCTTGGCATGATAGGTCTTAAGTCCCCTCCCAGATCTGTGACATTTGACAGGTGTCTTTTCCTCTGGACCTCGGTGTCCCCATCTGAGTGAGAAAAGGCAGTGGGGAGGTGGATCTTCCAGTCGAAGCGGTATAGAAGCCCGTGTGAAAAGCCATACTCCAAGGGGCTCCAAGTCCAGCGCACAGTCCCAGAAGGGCCCAGCAAGGCAGCCAGGGCGGCACAGGCACCAGGTCCCAACCTTCTTCCCTGTTTGCCCACTCTCAGACCCCGGAGTTCATCATCTCGGAGCCGCTGGCCAATATGTACTCATGTGGGAACCAGAACACACTGATGGAGGAGTTGGCAGAGCAGGCACAGCAGCACGACGAGATGCTGCACATGCACCACGCGCTGAAGGAGGCGCTCAGCATCATCGGTGACATCAACAGGACCACTGTTACCATGCCCCCGCCCGTGGACGACACCTGGTTGCAGGTGCAGAGCATCCCTGACGCACACAGGTACCAGAGACTGCCCCCCACGGCCCCAAAATCCCCCACCCGGGATGCCCAGAGGAGTGCCCTGGGGACAAGTGGCACACCCCCTCACCGGGGTGGCTCCCACCTGGAGTGACGGGGGGAGCTTGACAAGGAGCACTGGCTGCGGGGGGGGGGGGGGGGGAGGGGTGGGATGTTCTCGCTGCTGGGGGCGGGGCTTAAGCTCCGGCAACCGCCTTGGGGTGTGGCAGGGAGGAGCTTCAGTGCATGGGTGTGGCCGGCACTGCGCTGGGGCGGGGCCGCCCATCTCTCCCCTCCCTGTGCCTCCCAGGTCGCCCAAGTCCAGCGCCAGGATGCCCAGGCCCTGCCATGTCCCTAGCCCGGCCTGGGTGGCAGGGCCCAGCTCCTGGGCGGCAGGACCCAGCTCCTGGGCTTCCTCCTGCTGGGTCCGCCCTTGGGGAAGTGTGCCCCATACCCTCCAGGCCAGAGGCTTCCCCTGATCCCTTTGGGCCCTACCCCCCTGGTGCTCTTGTGCCCCAGCCGGGGTCCCCAGGTAAGTAGGGGCTGAATGCAGCCAAAGAGGCCGCTGGACAGGCGTGGCCAGGAAGGAAATGGGACTGGATTCCAGAGCACCACATCTGGCCGCCAGAACTGGCCGTCTCCATCCAAGGCACTGGGACCATGGGTGCCGGAGCCACGTGTGGCCGAGGGCTGGCAGAGCCTGCCCCCCAGGGATCACTGAGTCCTGGAGGTGGTCGTTTTTGAGGAGGGGGCTGTGGGGCTCGTCCCACCTGCCGCCTTCTGTCCAGCACTTGCATGACACTTCCCTCTATTTTCACTCTTGGCGGCTGCCCACACTTTGCATTTCTCTTCCTTTCTTCTCGCTGTCCTCCATCCTCCATTCCGTCCAACTCCTAGCCCAGTCCCGGGGGCGCCTACTTCAGGTCTGAGAGTCTGAACTCCGAGATGCTCTGGGTGTGTGGATTTCCTTCAGCTACCCTGATGTCCCCACTTCCAAGTCCTGACTCCTTTGAGCCATCCCAGGGGGTGTCCGGCCACTGGACCACAGGAGCAGAGGCGAGTCTGTGACTGTGTGACCAGCAAGGTGTGTGATGTGTGCGTGAGCGAGCACACGAGTGTAAAGAATGGCACCCAGACCTGAGCTAGGACAGAGGGAGCCTGGGGGCCACAGGCAAGCTCATTTCTTCTCCACACCCCTCCCCGCCCGACCCTGTCTAAACTAATGGGGTAGTGGTAGCCGCAAGGGCAGGGATGGGAGTGGCTGAAGCCTACTTCACTCCCAAAGATTTCTAAGGAAAATGGTTCTACTGCATCCTTTGGCTGGGCCTTGTTGACCCGTGACCCTCTTTCAAGAACATTCACTCTGATTTCCAGTGTGCCGTCTCCACTGGCCACGTTCTCTAAGGAAGAACAATAGCATCTGTTTTTGTTTCCAAATGGCTGGAGAGTGGGGCTGTGGGACCAGCGCCCATATATAAAAATGAAGCAGGGATTGGGGCTTGCCCTGTGATGTGCTGTTGACCAAGTTAGAGGGGTATAGGCAAGCAGCAAAGTATTGGGCAAGATCACTGGACTGGGAGTCCAGAGATGCTGCTTCACCCTGGGGCTTTAGGCAAGTCCCTTTCCCTCCCAGAGCCTCAGCATCCCTTTTAGCAAATTATGACATTCTGCCTTTCTCCTAGAATGGCTGTGGGGATCAAGGGAGACAGTGGCCATAGGGATGCTATGTTAACCGTAGATGCGTCTGTAGGAGCACTTTCCTAACTGCCAACGTGAGTTCAGACTCTTCAGGCTATTTGGCACCCAGGTCTATGGTGAGGTGTGACATATGGGATGTAAAGTTTGATGCCTGCTCTGACTCCAGTCTTGCTAACACACACACGAAACCTTTGGCAAATCATGACCCTGCCTTGGGGAAAAGGGCAGTCTGGGAGAGCTTCTTCAAGGCAGCCTGGCTTCAATGCAGTCCGGGGCATGACGGAGATAGGCATACGTTGTGAGGAACTGGAGGGTAACTGGGTAAAGAGCTGCAGTGTGGGCAGAGGTGTAGTGTGGGTCACAATGAGGATAGCCACTGGCCAAAGCAGGGAACAGAGACAGAATGAAGAGCTCTGTGGGGAGGGTGGGGCACAGGGTGGAGAACCTTCAAAGTCCAAAGAGTATGACTTGTTGGGATTCAATGCTGTAGGCAGTAGGGAGCCATGGAAGGCTCTTAGGTGGAGAAATGACAGCCGGACATTAGTGAGCAAGCCCTGTCTCCCTGAGCAGCATGGGTGGTCCTCTGAGCACGCCAGGCACGAGTGTGCAGGGAGCTGGTGCAAATGCCTCTGTGTGCGGGTGAGCATCTGTGTTGTGACTCTGCCCACGCATGTGCTTCAGTGTGCCGAGTGGCTGCACGCCCCAGATCCATGCGGCACGTGCCGGCCGGTGAGGGTGCTGGGCACCGGGAGGTGGCGGAGAGGGCGACGTATGCGTGTTGTTTGTGGGCATGTGTTAGAGTGTGCATGCGGGCCGTGGGGCCTCACAGCATGTGTGTGCACAATCTGGCGTGTGCGTGTGTCCGCCACCCCCAGGCCTGCCCCACCCATGCATGGGACCTGCCATGTGATTTGATGCTGTCTTTCAGAATCACTATCAGTGGCCCCTGAGGAGCATCAGCCATGGTAGGTACATGCCTCACTGCCTGCTGCATGAATGGTCTGCCTGCCCCGCTGCCCCAGCTCCACACAGGGGGCATACCTGGAGCCTCAGAGCCAGGCTGCCTGCCCCTCCCTTCTAGAGCTGCAGACTTGCTCTTTCCTCTTTCTGTCCTTGTGCTGCTGGCTGTCTCACTTCCCTCCCTGCCAGCCACAGGACTCAGTGCCACTGCTCAAGGTCTCCATGGCTGAGCCTGGGGGCTCTTACAACAGGCTCCATGCCCAAGGTGGCAGATGTGGAACCATCAGAGAGGGCACAGAGCTCATGGTTTATGGTGTAGGGGCTGGGAGCTTGGAGGGGGTTGTGTGGGGGGCTGGACTCAGGCGGCCAGAGGCCTGGGCACATCATCCTGGGCACGCCGTACCTGTCATGCAGTCTGAGCCATGCTGCCAGGGCAGGTATCCAGCTCCCAGCCTGGGAGTGCCGAGAGCCAAATCCACTGCAGATTAGGGGTGATAGTCAGGGTCCCACCTCCTCTATCTGTCAGCAATCCAGTGGTGATCTAGGATAAAAGCCTGAGAGTTCAATACACACGGTTATCCCACAACACACTTCATAGGCCATGCAAGGACACACAGCCCCCTTCCCTCCTTCCCAGGTACCATCACAGCTGCTAGCGTGTGACTGAAGGCTGGGTCCCTGGCCAGCGCTACTGAAGCACTACTGCCAGCCAGCAGACTCACGGACCTTGGCCTGTTGCTCCTAGGGGTCACCTGTGCTATTCAGCCAAGGAGACCACAGTGCTTGCTGGCCCAGCTGAGCTCCGCCTAGCGAGCCCACCTGCCTTTCCTGCCACGGAGTCTCCCTCTTCTGCTTTTCCCAGCAGGAAGGGCCCAGCCTCACCTATGCAACCTGCAGCCCCCCGCCAACCAGTTGAGGCTCCCCTCTTAGACTTATAAGTCTACGGGCAGTGGCATCTAGCTACCTGCCCTCCCTGCCTTCCCCAGGGTCCCTTCAGTGGACCCTGGGCTTTCTGACTGCCCAGAGAGGGGCCTCTGGCGCTCACTCCAGCCCGCCATCCCTTATAGCTTCACCATTTTGGTTCAAGCAGTGTTCCTTCTGTCAGGCTTGGTGGCTGTTGGGTGGGGCTCCCCAAGCAAGAGGTGGCCCTGGGCCAGTGGGTTGGAAGATGGGGTGACCACAGAAGAGGGAAGCCGGGGGGGTTGAGCATTGGTCTGAACTGTGGGTGGACTGCCTGGGTGCCATGAGAGAGGCCAGTGTGTGTGGGGTGGGGAGGGCTGCCACAGCCCCCAGGCACTACCTATGAAGCTCTAGCTTCTCCCTCCATCTTCCTCCCCTTTCCCTTCCAGCCCCTCTTTTCCAGGAACCTTGCCACGCCCACACCTACGCCTTCCCCTTCCCGGCTCTCAGATGATGGTGGTGTTTATCTCCCTGTTCTCGGGAGCCCAAAAAGAATGGCATGCAGGGGTTGCTGCCCATGCCTGGGTGCTCCTGGGGAGTCCTGCATTACAGGAAGCAGCTGCTGGATCTGCTGTGCAGTGGGGTTGTCGTGGGGAGAACCCTCCCTGTCCTCTCCTGGTGCAGCCTCCACGCTATCAGTGAGGCTCACCTCACAAAGATCTTCAGAGAGAGGGAGGGGGGTGGGAATCTGAGCACAGTGCGAGCCTCCCCTGCTCCTGCCTGCCCACCCCACCTGAGGGCTCTACTCACCACCCTGCTCGTCAGCACACCCAAGCTCCTGGGCTACTGGGGCTCCTAGAGTGGGCTCATCAGCAGGGTTCTGGGCAATGGTCAAAATTTGCCATGCCCCTCCTTGTGGTCGCCCACAAGCTGCAACACCTGCCCCGCAGCTCCTGCAGGTTCACCTGGAGGAAGGGGTGTTAGCTGCCATGCCGGTGCCGGCACGCACGTTCACCCCCACCTCCACCCCCACCCCCACCGAGATGTTGCACACCCTACCTTCATCTCCTCCTGGTCCTGGGCCAGCCTGACGATGTCCTCCTCTCCCAGTGCTGCGTCTCTGACACTGCCCCCTGGCTGATGTACTTTCCTGCAGGAGGACATGGCTCAGATGCTGGGGCCCCTCGGATGGCCTGGCAGCTCCCCCCAGCGGTGCCCTAGCCTCTCGCTCACTATGGTGTCTGTCTGTCCTGAGAGGTGGATGAATTGAAGCTCTAGTTTCTCTACCCGCTCCTTCAGGTCCACCTTCTCCTTCCATAAAGTCGCTGTGGAGCCAAAATAATGGGGTCACATGTCAGGAGTCACCTGCCTTGTCCTGCCCCACCGCCCCCCTTGTTGGCCCATGCCAGGACCTACTCACCTGCAGCTTCTCCATGGCCCCCTGCAGGGCCCGGTGGGTCTCCCCAAACACAGACTCACCCCCACTCTCTGGGGCTGGGGCCGCTACCTCTGGCTTCTTCTGGGACGAGGCCACTGGGTGAGCCAGGGGCTGGCAGCACACCCTTTGTTCCTCCTGGGCACTGGCTCCAGCGGAGTTGAAAAATGCCACCTGAAGACAAGAGGTGAGTATTCTTGTAGGGGTATACACATAACAACTGGGGCAGGCAGATGGAGCATAGCCCCTTCCTTTCGGGCCTCACAGAGTGCACCTGTTGGTCACAGGTGAAATGGTGTCTGACCACTGGCTCCCAGGAGGAGTGAAAGTCCACAGAAGTCAGAAGGCGGGGAAACCAAGAACATAAGGGGGTTTCGGAGGGACCACAGAGGAAGGTGGCAAAGTAGGGGCAGGGAAAGTCAGGCTCACCATGGCCTCCCGGGTCTCCAGGTCCCCTGGGATGTTCGGCATGGGCCGAGGCGCCTCCTGCTCACTGTCCAGATGTCCTCCTCCATCTCCTGTGGGGGGTGGCCAGAGGGGTCCTCAGACAACCCAACAAGGGAGGTACAGTGGGCCCGCCTCTGCCCCCACACTCACTGTGTAACCTTGAGCCAGCCCCTCCCCAGAGGGGAATGAGCTGTTCTTTATTTTGAATTTTAAGAACCAAGATCTTGCTATATTGCCCAGGCACAGTCCCACTACCGATTGGCGCAGGAATTCTGACCTGCTCCCCTTCTGACCTGAGCCAGTTCTCCCATCCTTAGGCAACCCGATGGCCCCCTGTTCCCAGGAGGTCACCATACTGATACTGAACTTAGTGCGGACACCTTGTCGGCATAATGACCGACACAAAATGCTTAAAAGGTAACCTGACTCTTTGTTCAGGGCTCAGTCCTTTAGATGTTAATCTGACTGGGCCGGTGCACCTAATAATATATATCCTCCTCAGTCTCTCTGATTCCTAAATTATGCTGCTGTACGGGGAGAGAGGCAGCAGGGTAGTGGAGTCATACCAAGCAACAAGACAGGGTAGTGGCCAGGCATGGTGGCTCACACCTGTAATCCCAGCAATTTGGGAGGCCAAGGCGGGTGGATCACCTGAGGTCAGGAGTTCGAGACCAGCCTGGCCAACATGATGAAACCCCATCTCTACTAAAAACACAAAAATTAGCTGGGCATGGTGGCAGGTGCCTGTAATCCCAGCTACTCAGGAGGCTGAGGCAGGAGAATTGCTTGAACCCAGGAGATGGAGGTTGCAGTAAGCCAAGATTGTGCCATTGCACTCCAGCCAGGGGGACAAGAGGGAGACTTCACCTCGAAAGACAGACAGACAGGCTAGTACGTTTTCCACAAATTTCAATTTTACTCTCTTCCCCCACCACACACACACACAAAGCATTTGAGGGATGGGAGGAAGAAACTGAGATCACAGGAAAAATTGTAAGAGACATTCAGAAGGACAGGTCTTAGAAATTTACTAGTTTTGGGGGGAGGTCAGAACAGGTGTATATAAAAGAATATTAAGACAGTTCCCAGGTTTAGGCATATGTGACTAGATAGAGTGCTAGGAGATGGATACGTGAAAATTTAAATATCATCATTTTGAACACCCATGTCACTCCAAGTGAGATTCCCTAAATATATGATATACAGACAGATATATGGGTTTGAAACTCTGGAGATGAATACAAATTTAGGAGTCCCTGGAACACAGGTCATGACTTAAGTAATGGGAGTCAAAGATTACTCAGAGAAAGCACAGAATGAGAAGAGAAGAAGTAGGACAAGGAAGAAGAGATCGGAGGAGACCAAGAAAGGGTGATAAGATCAAAACAGGAGAAAAGAATCCGACAGAAGTCTCATTTGATTATCATGTCCCTTCCCAGAGGACAGGGACATGTCTTTTTTGTCTTTTATACCCAATTATCACAGGTCCTGGTGCAGCAGACACACAGTTTTTTTTTTTTTAATTGTGTTGTACTATTCACAGTTTCCTGTATTCACCAGGGGAGAAAAAAGTAAGTATAAAGCAGCACAGACACAGATGTTTTTACACTGTGTACTAAAGGGGTCAGATTATACACAATATTTTATGCCTTACTTTTTTACTTAATATATCTTAGAAGTTTGCACGTGCTCTTATGGAAAGACTGGCTGCATTTTTTGGTCCACAACAGAACAACAGAATATTCTATTATAAAACGGCACACTATAATTTTTATTTAACCAACTCTTTATTGGTGGACATTAAGAATGGAGGAATGTTTCAACAAAGGAACAATCAACAGTATCAAAATACTGCAGAGGGGTCAATTTGGGGACTAAGAGGGGAGCCACTGGATTTGACAACTAGGAGATAAATTTTAGTGCAACGATGAAGGCAGAATCCAGAGTATAATGAGCTCAGTGAAAAAAGGTGAAGACATGTAGCTTATTCTCTCAAGAAACTAGGCTATGATAAACTGGCAGAGGCTCTAAGAGTGGGAGGTGAGTTGTTTTCTCCTTCATGTAAATATATTTACCTTTTAAACACTAGGCCCAATTTTATATCCTATTTCATTTAACTTTATGAACATATTTATGTATGTATGCATGTATGTATGTATCTCATGTGATGTTTTAGACACTGAAAAATAACTCATTTCTATTATAAAACTGATATCTTTAGATGTTCAGAAGCAACTTCCTAAAAGGAGGTAGCAGTAATGGAGCTATGTCTATCATTCTTTCCCATCAACCCCCTTGATGGAGATGTAAACATGTGTCCATCAAGCCTTTAATTTTTACCTCTTATCTTCATGGCTCTCCATACAAAACTTAACTCTTTTTTTTTTCTATTTGTATACGTATATTTATATGTATATCTATATCGAGAGAGAGAGAGAGAGAAAGAGTCTTGCTGTGTTGCCCAGGCTGATCTCAAACTCCTGGGCTCAAGCAATCCTCCCACCTTGGCCTCGCAAAGTGCTGGGATTACAGGCGTGAACCACTGTGCCCAGCCTCAGCCTTAACTCTTAAAATATCTTCAAACCAATATTCTTCTGTTCTAATTTTTAAGAATAGATGTGTTTAAACCAACTAACTTATTTTGACAAAAATTGGAGTTAAGACTCAGACTTCCTCAAATAGTTCTCCTAAAACCATTTACAGAATAATCTATCTTTTCAGTATTAAGTTAAAATACCACCTTTTCCTTATACTAAATTCTCGTTTGCATGACTCTGGTTCTAAACTTCCATTGCCTTTATCTGTCTGGCCCAGGGATAGTCCACAATATTTTATTTACTATCTGGTTGAAAGAGTCTATACTTTATTACTTTTTATTACTTATTCTTCTAAACAAATTTTAGAGTCGTTTTGTCAAGTGTCAAAAATAAATCTGCCAGAATTTGTACTGAAATTTGTGTGTGTGTATATATATAATACACACACACTATATATAAAATATAAAATGTATATATACAATTTATATATATAAATATTTATAAAATATGAAATATATATATATATATACACACACACTTTTCTAGTTCTTTTTTTTTTTTTTTTGAGACAGGGTCTCACTCTGTCACCTAGGCTGGAGTTCAGAGGCATGATCTCGGCTCACTGCAACCTCTGCCTCCCAGGCTCAAGTGCTCCTCCCACCTCAGCCTCAGAAGTAGTTGGAAATACAAGTGTGTGCCACAGACACCCAGCTAATTGTCATCTACCCGCCTCAGCTTCCCAAACTGTTTGGATTACAGGTATGAGCCACTGTGCCCAGCAGAAATTACATTTACAAATTAATATGAAGACATGGTGATAACTAACATATTTATAACATGAAATCTGCTCATCCAGGAACATAGAATGCAAATCTTTCATTCCACTCAGCAAAATTTTGTCCTGTCCTTGATAAAAGTCCTGCACATCTAAGTTTATTCCTAGGTATTTAATTTTTGCTGAAATACCTGAAAAAATACTTCATCACTATATCTTCTACGTGATTATAGCTAACACTGGGGAAGGCTATTGATTTTTATATAAAAGAACTTTTAACCAGTAATCTTAAAAATTGTTTTTCTCAGTTGGTTCCTTTGGATATTTTTAGGTAAACAATCATGTCAACTGAAAATAATGATAAATTTTCTATAAAGACTATGACATCACAGGAAAATACAGTAAATACTTTTTAAAAGAATATAAAAGGGCCAGGCACAGTGGCTCACGCCTGTAATCCCAGCACTTTGGGAGGCCAAGGTGGGCAGACCATGAGGTCAGGAGATCGAGACCATCCTGGCTAACACGGTGAAACCCCATCTCTACTAAAAAATACAAAAAATTAGCCGGGAATGGTGGCGGGCGCCTGTAGTCCCAGCTACTGGGGAGGCTGAGGCAGGAGAATGGTGGGAACCCAGGAGGTGGAGCTTGCAGTGAGCCGAGATCACGGCACTGCACTCCAGCCTGGGTGACAGAGCAAGACTCTGTCTCAAAAAAAAAAAAAAAAAAAAAAAGAATATAAAACTATAGAGAATATGACCTCAACTATTAAGCATATGTGTAAGGGTTATGTATTTTAATAGCAAAGAAAAACTATATACTGGTAGAAAATGACCATCATGTCAACAGTCAATAGTGGTTATATTAGATAGAGAAATTATGGGAGACTTTAATTTTTTTCTTTTATCTTTTCTGTACTTTACCAATTTTCTCAACAATGGTTGCTTATGAGTTTTAAAATTAAAAAAAGGTTTTAAAAATTTTTCCAACATGGAAAGTTATATTTCTTTATATACTAAAACAAAAACAAAACTTTCTATTTGAATACCTATGGCAAAACCCTATCTCTACAAAAAATACAAAAAATTAGCAAGGTGGGGTAGTACACACCTGTAGTCCCAGCTACTCTGGAGGCTGAGGTGGGAGGATCACCTGAGTCCCCAGAGAATGAGGCTCCAGTGAGCCGTGATCATAGCACTGCATTCCAGCCTGGGAGACAGAGAAAGACCCCATCTCAAAAAAAAAAAAAAGAAAGAAAGCAAAAAGAAATATCCATAATGATCTGAAATGCCTATCTGTATGAGACTGTCCTTTGTTCACATTTTTTCAAGCAAATATCACACAATAAATTGAATGCAGGTACAAATGACATATCAAACATCAAAGAAATTTGCAAAAGACGTAAGACTGTACTACCTTGGGTTTAGAAATTTTCTTATCATAAAAGCATTTATAACAATATTTTGTGAGCTTTTAAGGAATATTTTAAGTATTTCTGATTTAATTTCTAGTGATAAATACCAATAGATATAACCTACATACACAAAAGCTCCTTGGGCCCTCAATATACTTTTAAGAGTGTAAAGGAATCCTGACCCCAAAACTTTGAGAACTGCTGCCTTCCCCTCCACTTTATTCCTTCCCTAGAATTTCTTCCTTGGAAGAAACATTCCTTTGCCATTCTATGTTAACTTACATAGTTCCATTGAGGCCAGTTTTGCTACCTCTCTCCCATCTTTCCACATCCCTCTCTTGACACAAAACCTGACCAAAGGACTCTACCGGCCCACCCCATTTCCAGTGATTAGCTGTCAGGTGGGCTAAGCCAAGAAAATCTGGGTTTTCCCTGACACTAGACCTCTCTTTCTGGGAGATACGGAATCACAGGGACAAGGCTGGCCCTGTCAGAACTCATCTTGTCTAAATGGGAAGAGGTTAGGCAAGTTTCTAGAATGCCAGACTGCTTTCTAGAAAGTCAAAGATAATTATACTTTCTGCCACGACTGTGAAAATGCCCATTTCATTGCACGCTTTCTAACATTTATACCAATCTGATAAATAAAAGCTGGTACCTAGAAGAAAAAAAGGCTGGGTATGGTGGCTCATGCCTGTAATCCCAGTACTTTGGGAGACCAAGGTGAGTGGATCACCTGAGGTCAGGAGTTCGAGACAAGCCTGGCCAACATGATGAAACCCCATCTCTAGTAAAAACACAAACATTAGCCGGGCATGGTGGCAGGCCCCTGTAATCCCAACTACTCGGGAGGCTGAGGCAAGAGAATCACTTGAACCTGGGAGGTGGAGGTTTTAGTGAGCCAAGATCATGCCATTGCCCTCCAGCCTGGGTGACAAGGTGAGACTTTGTCTCAAAAAAAAAAAAAAAGTTTCCATACAATATAATTTGTTCCATCTCTAAAAACCAATTCAGCAATAACTGAAAGCCACCACTTGGAAGGTTTCAAGGATTTAGCTCTACCTGTTGATGATGTCCAAAGCATTAGTTAAGGTAGAAAAAAAATATACACACACACACACACACACACACACACACACACACACACTCACCCCTATGTAGTCAGTACCAGGAAACACGAAAGACTAGATGGTACAGTCATCCAACACAAAGCACACAATAACTGAAGGCACTGTAGAGGAGTAACTTATGACACAGATCTACAATATTGAGTGAAAATGCAGATTACAAAAAAAAATCTGATTTTTTAAGGGAGAGGGAACACATACAAGCAAAGGAGAAAAGAGATGAGCAGATGACTGAAAGATACAAAATTCTGATAGTGGTACATTCTGAGTGGTAGAATTATCAGTATTATTTTCTAGTTTTGCCTAAAAATTTTCTAAATTTCTTAAGAACTTTTTGTTATCCATATTATCAAATATCCATCACCCCAGGAAACTTAACCTTGAGCACAAACTCTACAACAAGTTCAATGTTTGTTCAGTTTAATATTTAAGAGACAACCTATTTTGAAAGACATCTAAAATGATGACCAATATTTAAACCTATGCATTAATATTTTTCAATCATATCCTTCACATTTTGTAATTTTGATAAGGTTAAGCTTTAGATCCATCTTGAAAAGATAAGTTTTCTGTTTGTCTTTAAAATATGACCCACAATATGCCTGTTTTTAAACAGTGAATGATGCTCTAAAATCACAATATAAATTCAGGCAGTGCTCCTTACATGGAAAGTTTAAGTACTTCTAACACTGCTCTTTTTCACTTGTTATGAAAACACAGAACAATTATCTAAGCATCTAATTATTCAGGTCCTTTGTTTCTCCTCCAATCTATTAGTTTTATAGTAATTTTAGGGCCTGTGAGGATGAAGCTGTCTGTGACAGCTACCACAAAGGTTACTATAGGTGGACAAATTTCAAACAAGTTTATCACCACTACCATCCCCACCATAAAACTGTCTCAATCAAGGGCAACACAATTCAATATTAGCCAAGACAACCTCTTTACCTGTCACTGCTTAAGAAAAGGATTTTTGGTCTTATTTAGAAATAACTTTCTGTACCTATTTTTCTCCATAAATCCACTGAGACCAATGTGTGGCTCTATCTCAAGCACCAGCAAGCAAAACTGCCTGCTAGAAGGTTCAGTTTTTGTATCTTTCCAAATGTAGAACACAGCTATCTTCAAGGATTTCATAATTTTTTGAAAATTGATGCACAAACTTCTTGAAAGTTCAGAGACACAGCAGCTGTAATTCTTCTGAAGGCTGGTTATGGGACACATTACCTTCATACTTTGCTGTTTAAGAAATGTGGGGTGGAGAATCAAGTAAACTGATAGAATTTCCATATAAAATTCTAAGTGCTCTGAGAACAAAAGAAACTTAAAATACACACACACACACACACACACACACACGGTTTTCCCTACTAATCATTTTACAACTAAACAACCAAGTTGCTAAACCAGAGCCCACAAAAGCAGAGTCAAAGTTCTAACACTTGGTAAAAGAAAAATGCACACATACCCCTGTGAGCTAAAAAAAAATGCTTAAGTATTCAAAGACAGCAATTACAGCTACTGAGAACATCACTGTAAGCAAACTGAGGCAGAGAAAACAAACGTGCTGATGAGGATTTGAACCACCTAAGCTGCAGAAACCCACTGGATGGTTTCCTAGGTTCCGAGTTGGCATTATCTTTCAGAACAATCTTCTAGAAGAGATCACATAACACTGTTACAAAGGATCTGGAGAAAGGGACCCTGGCTTCATCACTGTGGCTCTCCAGTCATGCTTTACATTTGGCAGTGACTATCTCCATTCAACTCAATTCCCTAACCCTAAACTAGCTGACATTTATCAAATACTGCCCTTTACCAGGTCTAAGTAAGTTTAACTCCCCCCACCCCCACCAAAAAAAATTCAAGATACTAAGGGATATACTATTCACAAAAGGGAAACCTGTCTCCTCTTCATATACCTGTTCCTTTCAAGGAAGGGTATAAAAATGGGGATGAGGGAGGATAACCACTAGGAATTTGACCCTATATTATAAATTGGTCAGATAAATGAAAATAATTCCTCTGGACTCAAAGTGATATGGCTCTGAAAACGGGAGAAACATCGGGGTCCTTTGTCTCACGCCAGTTAAACGACATGGACACACAGGAGTGGTTTTAAGGAGCAGAAAGTTTAATAGACAAGAAAGAAGAAAGGCTCCCTGCGGTACAGAAAAAGGGGGTCTGAACAGAGAAAAAGCCCCGTGTGTGGCAGAACAGTACTCGGTTATATTGGGAGGCTGGAGGAGGTGGTGTCTGATTTGCACAGGGCCCAGGGCATTGGTTTGACCAGGCAGGTCATTCATGTAGCCCGAGAAAAACGTGGCCCTCCCACCCTAGCCTTTTAATATGCAAATGTAGGTCACCATGTTGTCCTGCACACATGGGGTCATCTGGAGGTGTCACCTTGAGGTGGTGACTAGAAGAAGAGGGTGGGAATCTCCATGTTGAATGGACACAGTTTCTAAGCGCTGGCATTTGCATATCAAAGCTTGGCAGCCTGTAGTCCCAGCTACTCAGGAGGCTGAGGCAGGAGATTCACTTGAACCTGGGAGGCAGAGGCTGCAGTGAGCTGAGATCACACCACTGCACTCCAGCCTGGGTGACAGAGCGAGATTCCGTCTCCAAAAAAAAGATAAAAAGAAAAGAAAAAGAAATGTTTCTGGAGTTGTTTCTATTAAAAGGGAAAGCCTTACTGAGGCCTCCTTACCCTCTCTATCTGCCTAGTATAATTTCTGAATAACTCCTCTATTAAAAGTACCACTGAGGTGCTTAATATGACATTTCTGATATTTCCCAATGCTCCTCCACAAATTCAATTTGGAAAGGTAATCTGTTCCAGGAGGGCAAACCAAAGAAAAAGTCCTAGGCTCCTGAGTCAAGGCTTGTTTCTTTCCTTTGTACAAGCTGACTACCTTTTAATCATAGTAAAAATGAGAAAAATGCAAGATGAAGTTAACAGCATTGCTTTATTTCCCATGAAAAGCTGTTATAAAGCATTCTCAAAATAAACTGTTATTCAGCCACAAATGACACCATCACTTTTTTATTCATAGGGCACAGTATCGCTGCCAAAGAGCTTTCCTCTATATGCTCTCTTGCAGGGCAAAAAATATTATCTATGTTATACAGAAACACAGTAAAAAAAGTGATTTACTTAAGGTCCTAACTACTAAATAAAAGCTAAACTACTCACTTCCTCCTAGATTCAGAGAGAGCTCCAACATTTTCTAAAATTTGGTATCTTGTTGTTGGGGTAGGCACTTTTTGGCAATAATGAATAGACATTTAATTAGCCAATCAAAAAAACTTATTAGGTACAGTAAGTTCCTCTTCAAAGGTTTAACCTGTTCAACTTCCTTGTTCTTTGTTCCTAAGAACAATTTCCCTGTACCTTCTCACCCCTATTTACCTGCTTAGTTATCTGCTCAGTTACCTGCCTTGTAAACAACTCTTCCCATCAGTCCCAACCTGTAACTCACATTCCCTCTCCCTTCCTTATTAGGGAGAATATTCGCGATAGCAAATCAAGTCTGCTTAGATTGTGTAGTCCGACTCCAGCCCATGTGGGAATGACAGAGAGGTAGGGACTGCGTTAGGGATATAAACTCCTGCTCTATCCCGCTCGGTGTGCTCTTGCATTCGTGACTAATGCAAACAGCACTCTTTTGCAGAAGTAAGTTGTCTTGCTGAGAAAACTTTTTTTCCTGAGTGCTGGTTCTTCCTTGCAGCACTGATCATTTGTTTCTTTTTTCTTTCTTTTTTTTTTTTTTTTTTTGAGACAGAGTTTCGCTCTGTTGCCCAGGGTGGAGCACAGTGGCTTGATCTCAGCTCACTGCAAGCTCCACCTCCCAGGTTCACGCCATTCTCCTGCCTCAGCCTCCTGAGTAGCCGGGACTACAGGCACCCACCACTGCGCCCAGCTAATTTTTTTGTATTTTTTTTTTTTTAGTAGAGACGGCATTTCACCATGTTAGCCAGGATGGTCTCGATCTCCTGACTTCATGATCCGCCCACCTCGGCCTCCCAAAGTGCTGGGATTACAGGGGCGAGCCACTGCGCCCAGCCTGATCATTTGTTTCTAACAATCTGGGGGCTCGTCCGGAATTCCCATTCTCCTCTGAGAAAAGGGTCTCCAGTCACCAATAGTGAGGAGAAGCATCCCACTGCCTCATTGAGGTGGCCTCATGGTGAGGGATCAGGACCCACCCAGTGTGATGAATAAACCCGGACTCTCAGCAGTCTGGAAAGGAACAGACCAACAACTTAAGAGAAAAGGATCCTCACATACCATGGTGACCAGGTAACTATGTGCACAGACCAATGTAAGAAACATCACAAGAGCGACAAAGTATTTTCTTGGTGGTTGGGATATCTTGGAGATTGAAAGTGTGTGTTGAGACTCACAATTGAGTGCAAAGCAAGTGTTCAGTCCAGATCTGCAGTTCTGTGGTCACCTTATACAGCTTAAGGTAGCCCTTCTGTAAAGGAGTCTGGGTCAGGGGTTTCTACTGAAACAGCCATTGCTAAGAGGAAACCAACGTTCCCGTGAGGGAAGCAGCCAGAGAAGGATGAAGCGAAAGGAGAAAAGTGCAAGAAACCTCCAGCAGGGGGGTTGAGCCTCTAGGAAAGGAAAGGAAAGGAAAGGAAAGGAAAGGTGAGAAATCTCCAGTAGGAGAGGTTGAGCCTTATACAAACCTCTCGTAACTGGGAAGAAATTTCTAGTAGGGGAAATTGAGCCTCACCCCAATCCCTTTTCAAGATGGGAAATACCTCAAGTAATGCAGGGGAGAAAAAGGATAAAGCTAGCAACAATAACATTCCTCCTGATAGTCCCCTAGGGCTTATGCTAAAATATTGGAAAGAGAGTGAAAGGACTAAATACAAGAAAAAGCAGCAAATGATAAAATATTGTTGTTTCATTTGGACTCAGGAATCAATCCTGAAAAGCAAGTCAGAAATTAACTCCTCTGAGAAAGATAAGGTCCCTGTTCCTAGACAGCTCACCAACACATGGAACTTCCTCCACCACCTTCCCCCGTCCAATACCCCTAACCTCCCTCCCCCTCAAGCAGAGGCAGTTGTCCCAGACCCTTCTCCTACCCACATTGTTCCCCCTCTTTATAACCCTGCCTCTTGGGAATTGTCCCAACAGCCTGCTCACTATCACCCTAAGTACTCTTCCCTGAAAGGACTTCAATGTGAGATAGAGCAATGTAAAAGGGATATTCAGAACTTCCCCTTCCCCTCTACCTCGGGAGAATTAGCTCCACCTCTCTTCCCCTGAAGAGAGGTGTCCCTACGAGGAGGAGGTATTCACTTTGTAAATGCTCCTTTAACCAGCTCGGAGGTCCAAAACCTAAAAACAGAGTTCAAGCCACACTATTAGACAACTCCAGTGGAATAGCAGATCGAATTAACCAATTTCTAGGACCACAGTTATATATACTTGGGCTGAGTTAATGTCCATCCTAGGCATCCTTTTCTCAGGGGAAGAAAGAAGCATCATCTGTAGAGCTGCTATGGTAGCCTGGGAACATGAACACCCTCCTGGCCAAAACATTCATGCAGCGGATCAAAAATTCCCCAACCAAGACCCCTGCTGGGACAATAATAACGCAGCCCACTGAAGAGGATACGCAAGAACTTAGGAAAATGATAATAAAAGGGATTCGGGAGTCAGTACTCCGAACCCAAAATCTTACTCGAGCATTCGACATACAACAAAGGAAAGATGAAGGGCCTATCGAACTTTTAGACAGGTTGAAAGAACAAATGAGAAAATATGCTGGCCTAGATTTAGAAGATCCTCTTAGGCAGTGAATGTTAAAGCTTCATTTTGTTACTAACAGCCAGATATCACAAGGAAATTACAAAAGATAGGAAATTGGAAGGACCATCCCACGAACGAGCTTCTTAGAGAAGCTCAGAAAGTGTGTGTAAGGAGGGATGAGGAGAAGCAAAAAGAAAAAATGAAAATTATGTTATCCACCTTCCAACAGGGGGCCCCAAAGGATAAAACACACCAGTATTACTCTCTGTTACCCAGAGACCCACACACTCCCAAACAAAGCCTCCCGAGAGCCAAAACCTATAAAGATCCTAGGCCCCCACTTCCTAAGCCATATAAAGAACATAAGGAGGCAAAGCCGAGAAACCCAAAAATAGAGAGAAGAGACAGAATCAATGCTTCAATTGTGAGAAAGTAGGCCACTTCAAGAGGTATTGTCCCAAATTAAAATCAGAAAGAGAAGTCGTCCCACTTACGACCTTTGAGGAGGAATAGGGGGGTTAGGGGCTCTGTCTCTTTTACCTTGAATCCCACCAAGAGCCCTTGATAAATTTAGAAGTGGAACCCAAATCTGAGCTTATGACCTTTTTAGTAGACTCAGGAGCAGCCTGCTCCTCTGTTTGTTACCTTCCCCCACAATATAACCTGGTCCTCAGAGGAGCTTGTAGTCTCAGGGGTAAAAGGAGAGGGAATCAAACTAAAAATTTTAAAAGAAACAGAAATTAGATGTAAAAACTGCTCAGCTAATGTTGAATTTTTGTTAATTTCAGAGGCAGGAACTAATCTATTAGGAAGAAACTTAATGTTAAAATTAGGTATAGGTTTACATATTGGCTCAGAAGGATTCTACACTTCATTAAACCTGCTCACCACTGCAGAAGAAACATACATTCATCCTGATGTTTGGGCAAGGGAAGGAAATTGGGGAAAACTCCAAATTCCCCCTATACATATAAAGTTAAAAACCCCTGGAGAAATAGTAAGAAGAAAGCAATATCCTATTCCTTTAGAAGGCAGAATAGGCCTGAAACCTGTAATTGAAAGCCTCATCAAGGATGGGCTCCTTGAACCCTGTATGTCCCCTTATAACACCCCAATACTGCCTGTGAAGAAACCAGATAGGTCATGTCGACTAGCATAAGACCTCTGGGCCATCAACCAGACAGTCTAGACTACCCATCCTGTTGTCCCTAATCCTTAAACCATTCTCAGTAAAATTCCATATGAACATCAATGGTTTACAGTAATAGGTTTAAAAGATGCCTTTTGAGCATGCTCCTTGGATGAGGACAGCTGAGACATTTTTGCTTTCGAATGGGAAGATCCCCATTCTGGATGACAGCAACAGTATCGATAGACAGCTCTACCCCCGGGCTTCACAGATTCCCCTAATCTCTTTGGTCAAATTCTAGAACAAGTGTTAGAACAAGTTTATACCCCAAAATGTATATGTCTGCTCCAGTACGTAGATGACTTATTAATATCCGGTTAGGCTATAGAAAAGGTATCTGCTTTCTCCATCCATATCCTTAACCATTTGTAAGGAGAGGGGCTATGGGTTTCAAAGAGAAAGCTTCAATTCATAGAGCCTGAAGTTAAATACCTAGGACACTTAATAAGTAACGGCAAACGAAGGATAGGGCCTGAGAGGGTTGAAGGGATTGTATCCATACCTTTGCCTAAGACTAAACAAGAACTCAGAAAATTCCTAGGGATAGCCGGATATTGCCGCTTATGGATTGACTCATATGCCCTTGTCATAAAGCCTCTCTACCTAAAAATCACCCAAGAAAAGCCTGACCCTCTCCTCTGGACTTCTGAAGAACTCCACCAGGTTGAGGAGCTAAAACATCTGCTTATAACTGCCTCTGTTTTAGCTTTGCCTTCCCTAGAAAAGCCATTTCACCTTTCTGTTAACATAAATAAGGGGGTAGCTTTAGGGGTCCTTACCCAAGAACACGGAGGTCACCAGCAACCCATGGATCTCCTATCAAAAGTTTTAGATCCAGTAACCTGTGGATGGCCTGAATGTTTCAATCCATTGCAGCTACCGCCTTGTTAACTAAAGAAAGCAGAAAACTAACCTTTGGGGGAAAGTTAGTTGTAAACATGCCCCATCAGGTTAGAGCCATCTTAAATTAAAAGGCAGGAAGGTGGCTTACTGACTTGAGAATTTTAAAGTATGAAGCTATCCTGTTAGAAAGAGATGATTTAACACTAACCACTGATAATTCACTTAACCCAGAGGTTTCCTGACTGGAGATTCAAATCTAAAGAGACCTGAGCATGAGTGTTTAGATTTAATGATCATACAAAAGTTAGGCCTGATTTAAGAGAGACCCCTTACAAAACGGGGCAGGGCTTCTTTATAGATGGCTCTTCCCAAGTAATTGAAGGAAAAAGGCGTAATAGGTACTCAGTAGTAGATGGGGAGGCACTTGAAGAAGTAGAGTCAGGAAGCCTGCCAAATAATTGGTCTGCCCAAACATGTGAATGAATTGTTTGCATTAAATCAAGCCTTAAAGCACTTGCAAAACCAAGAACGGACTATTTATACTGATTCCAAGTATGCCTTTGGGGCAGCTCACACCTTTGGAAAAATTTGGACTGAACGAGATCTTATTAATAGCAAAGGCCAAGACCTGGGCCACAAAGAATTAATCACCCAAGTATTAGATAACCTGCAGCTGCCAGAATAGCTATTGTCCATGTTCCAGGACATCAGAAAGGTCTTTCTTTTCAAAGCGGAAGGAATAACCTAGCAGATCAAATAGCCAAACACACTGCCGTTTCCTCTGAAAATGCCTGTTTTTCACTTAGCCCCTTGCCTTCCTCCCTCGACTGCAGTCCCCATCTTTTCTCCCGCTGAAAAGGAAAAATTAATAAAAATAGGAGCCAAAGAAAATTCAGAAGGGAAATGGGTGTCACCAGACCAAAGAGAAATGTTATCCAAACCCCTCATGAGGGAAATCCTCTTTCATCTGCATCAAGGGACTCATTAGGGACCTCAAGCTAAGTGTGATGCAGTCCTCGGGGTCTACAGATGTATAGGAATTTACATTTTGGCAAGACAAGTTACAGATAGTTGCCTAGTATGTAAGAAGACTAATAAGCAGATCCTCAGAAAACCACCTGTTGGAGGGAGAAATCCAGGATTAAGGCTGTTCCAAATTGTCCAAATTGATTATGCCGAAATGCCCCCAATTGGTCACTTAAAATATTTATTAGTGATAGATCACCTTACTCATTGGGTAGAAGCTATTCCCTTTTCAAGTGCAACTGCTAGTAATGTACTCAAGGCATTAGTTGAAAATATTATACCCAGGTTTGGATTAATAGAAAATGCTGATTCAGACAACAGGACTCATTTCACTGCACATGTTCTTAAGAAACTAGCCCAAGTACTAGATATAACATGGGACTACCATAACCCCTGGCACCCACCTTCATCAGGAAGAGTAGAAAGAATGAATCAGACTCTGAAAAACCACCTAACCAAATTAGTCCTAGAGACTCGGTTGCCATGGACTAAATGCCTCCCCATGGTCTTGTGAAGATTCCAAACTGCCCCTAGGAAAGATGTCGGCTCACCTCCTTATGAAATGCTGTATGAGTTGCCTTATCTACACTCCACTGCTGACATTCCTCGTTCGAAACAAAAGATCTGTTTCTCAAGAACTATATACTTGGTCTATCCTCCACTTTCTCTTTCCTTAGGACTAAAGGCCTCTTGGCACATACACCACCCCTTGAATTTCCAGTTCACCACCACCAGCCCGGACAGTGACCACATTCTCATCAAAGGTCAGAAAGAAAGGAAGCTCAAGCCCACCTGGGAGGGACATTATCTAGTGTTTCTAATGACTGAGACAGCCGTCCACACCACTGAAAAAGAATGGACTCACCATACCTGAGTCAAAAGAGCACCACCCACTCCAGAATCATGGACAGCTATTTCAGGGCCAATTCCAACCAAGTTAAAGCTAAAACGGGTTTGATCCTCTTATGCTATATTTCTTTTCCCCTTCTATTGCTAGTCCTCTCGTTATTAATGTAACTAGGTCGAGCTCACCCCAAACTATTACCTTTGATGCTTGCCTTGTTATATCCTGTGGAGATCTCCAAAGTCAAAAGCAACTCTCAGCCTCAGAGAAGTATCTCCGTCCCTTTCAGACAAAAGCCTCCCCCATTACGACTCTTGTTCCTTAAGAAATGTAGGGAAACAGGCCTGCCACAGCTGGAATGATATTATGTGGACAACTGAACATCAGGGCTTTGTCAACAGGCAGTTGTAAGTCTCTAAAACCATGTTTGCTTTGTTAAAGGAAACATTCCCCACCCCCTGACTGCCAGTATAACCAATGTAATCCAGTGCAAATTTCTATTCTTATCCCCACTTCTGCCAACCCTAAACCTACTTTAAGTCGCTTATACGGCATAGGAGCCAAAATAGCAGGGACACATCTTATAGAATCCTTTGAAATGCATTTCATTACTTTCTCACCTCCTCCACCTCCTTCTACACTCTCTCTCAACGAAACCGCTGTTCTTCCTTCAACCAAGGATAAAATCAAGGTAAGCCATTGTAGAAGTTAAAAATTTGAAACAAACCATAGCAACTGAGACAGGGTACCAAGATGCAAATGCTTGGTTAGAATGGATTAAATATTCTGTCCGCACTCTAAACAAAAGCAACTGTTACACTTGTGCGCACAGTAGGCCAGAGGCCCAGGTTGTCCCCTTTCCACTCGGATGGTCTTCCAGCCAACTGGGCATGAGCTGTATGGTAGCTCTTCTCCAAGACCCCACAGCCTGGGGTAATGAATCTTGCCAAGCTCTCTCTCTGCTATTCCCTAAAGTCCAACACCCTGCAGGTCAGTCCCTGAGGGCCATCCAGCCTCCATCTATTGACACCAATTTTTACCTCGGGTCTCTCACAACAAGGGGAAAACTTGGCATTTCATGAAGACCTAAAGGGATGCGGTGAACTTAAACTCTCCCAAGAGCTTACCAGTCAGTCTGCCCTTGTTCATCCTCGAGCATACGTATGGTGGTATTGTGGTGGACCCTTACTGGACACTCTGCCAAGTAACTGGAGTGGTACTTGTGCTCTAGTCCAACTGGCCATCCCTTTCACCCTAGCATTCCATTAACATAATAGAAGAGAAAATCAGAAGAGAAGAAGTGACCTTCATGGGTCCTTTGACTCCCACGTTTATAAAGATGCTACTGGAGTTCCACGAGGGGTACCAGATAAATTTAAGGCCCGAAATCAAACAGCTTCAGGATTTGAATCTGTGCTGTTTTGGTGGTCAACTGTAAATAAAAATGTAGATCGGATAAACTACATTTATTACAACCAACAAAGGTTTGTTAACTACACAAGACATGCCATTAAGGGAACAGCCTCCCAATTAGGTCCCATTAACTAAATAGTCTGGGAAAACAGGATAGCCCTAGATACGATGCTAGCAGAAAAAGGTGGTGTCTGTGTCATGATTGGAGTCCAATGATGTACTTTTATTCCTAATAACACAGCCCCTGACGGAACAGTAACAAAAGCTTTGCAGGACCTAACCTCCTTATCCAATGAGTTAGCAAGCAATTCTGGAATAAATGATCCCTTTACAAGTTTAATGGAGAAATGGTCTGGAAAATGGAAAGGCTTAATGTCCTCAATATTTACTTCTCTTGCAATCGTTATAGGTGTGCTTATTCTTGTTGGATGCTGTATCATACCATACATTTGTGGACTACTGCAAAGACTCATAGACACAGAACTTACCAAAACCTCTCTTAGCTCTCCTCCACCCTATTCAGATAAGCTTTTCCTTCTAGAAAACCAAGCAGAACAGCAAAGCAAAGACATGCTAAAAAAGTTTGAAGAGGAAGAATTACAAAAATTAAGAGGGGGGAATTGTTAGGTACAGTAAGTTCCTCTTCAAAGGTTTAACTTGTTCAACTTCCTTGTTCTCTGTTCCTAAGAACAATTTCCCTGTACCTTCTCGACCCTACTTACCAGCTTAGTTACCTGCTTAGTAACCTGCCTTGTAAACAACTCTTCCTACCAGCCCCAATCTGTAACTCACATTCCCCCTCCCTTTCTTATTAGAGAAAATATTCACAATATCCAGCTGAGTCAGCTAAGATTGTGCAGTCCTACCCCAGCCCATGTTGGAATGACACAGAGGTAGGGAGTGCATTAGGGATAAGAACCCCTGCTCCACCCCGTTTGGTGTGCTCTTGCAATCATGACTAATGCAAGCAGCATACTTGCAGAAGCAAATTGTCTTGCTGAGAAAACTTTTTTGCCTGAGTGCTGCTTCTTCCTCACAGCACCAATCATTTGTTTCTAACAATCTCGCTAAAAGCAGCCTAGAAAGCAGCCACTTATGCAGAAAGAGTAATAATTTATGCTCTACAAGTCATATAAAAAATGAAGTTTCATTTGTTTACCGGCTAATTTACTTCCTGGGAGACATTTTTCATTCTAAAACAGTGATTCCCTACCAAGAGTTCATAGATGCCAAGAAGTCCATAAAAGGCGTAATGGAATTGCCAAATTATGTTAAATACTTCAAAAGGACTCAAAGCCATATACTAGTTCCCAATAGGCCTGCACAAGTTATTAGAACAAGCTGCTTTGCATTCTTGTGTGATCAGAACCAGTAACTAGATGGCAATCAGGTCTGTTACTGAAGATGGAAAAACTATACTTAAGTTTGTATAACAATCTTTCATAACATGGCTTCACAGAAAAGAAGTATAAAAAGGATTCCTTGGTTGAAAAAGAGTGCTCTTTTCCCTTCATTATTTAAGATTAGGACAAATTTATAAAACAGGAAAAAAATAGCACAAATCCCTTGGCAAACAGAGTAAAACATCTACTCTGTTTTGCTTTTTTTCACTTCTTACACTCTCTTTCATAGGAAGTCAATTTACAGACTTCCATCAAGCCCTTAGAGACCTTTTTGTACTATCCATGACAAGCTCTTGATGTTATCTCTGCACTTTTGACAAATTCTTAGCAGTTAACTTACAAGGCAGTTAAGATTTTTGTTCAAGCACAATATAGCTAGAATAGGCTCATACATTCAATAAAACAAATATTTACCAAGCATTTATTGAGTGGAAGATAAAAAGCACAAAGCATAATTATAAAATATTTTCCCCTGCCACCATAAAAAAATTAAACAGGCTTACAGAATACAGTGTAAGAAAACATGACCAAAGCAAAAATAGTAAGGACTAAAGAAGGGAGGAAGGGGAAATATCAACATGGACTGAATATGACCCAAAAGAGCCTTGATGGATGGTCAGACATGTAAAGGCAAATTGGTTAGGGTTAAGGGGTGGAGGTCAGGGCACGTTCTATAGGGAAACGGCAGCTGATACAGAAGCCTGAAAGGAAAAGCGGGCAGAGCACCTGGACAGGACTCTTCAGGAACGAGCACGCACGTGCGTGAAAAACAACTTAGTGAGGTACCGTTCACCCAAACATTAGAGAAACCGCGTAAAAATGCTTCTTGGTAAGCATGAAGAAGGCAGGGCTCGCCCTGTAGAAGAACTCAATAAACATTTGAACTGTCTAAAGAGTAAAAGTTAATGAATAGGCCAAACTCACTCCTTTCTTTGTTTTAAGAGCTACAACTTTAGAGAATAACAAATCACAAACCCAGTAGACAGGTCCTGGCATTTCAAATCCAACCCCATTTTTCCCTTAATCTTTCCCCTCTGAGCAAATGGTATCGACATGAACAAGCCATGTTGATTTGATCAAGACACTCATCCATGGTTAAAAGAGTCTTTACTTTCAAGAGATACAAACAGAAATATTTACATGGGCTAATTTACTGGGCAACAAGAGAGAAACTCCGTCTCAAAAAAAAAAAAGGAAATAAAAGCATACAAAGTGAAAACAAAGAAATTAAACTGCCCTTATTTGCCAGTGACATTACTGTCTATGCACAAAATTCCAAAAATCTACAAAAAAGCTTCTAGTACTAAAAATGAGTTTAGCAAGGTTGTAGAATCCAAGGTCAGCATATAACATAAAATCACCTTCCTATATACTAGCAATCACCAACTGGAAATTGAGAAGTATCATTCACAACAGTACCACAAACATGAAATAAATGTGTAAGATTACAAAATACAAGCAAGATCCAACTGCTAAAAACTACAAAACACTGACGAAAAATCTAAGAAGGTCTAAATAAATAGATATACCATGTTCATGGCTCATTATTAAAATGTCAGTTGCCTCCTAACTGATTTCCAGTTTCAATGCAATGTCAATCAAAAACCCCAGCAGGCTCTCACGCCTGTAAGCCCTACACTTTGGGAGACCATGGTGGGAGGATTGCTTCATCCCGGGAGTTTGAGACCAGGCTGGGCAACATAGAGAGACCCTGTCTCTACAAAAATAAAAAAATTAGCCAGGCATGGCGGTGCATGCATGTGATCCCAGCTACTTGGGAGGCTGAGGTGGGATAATCGCTTGGTTCAAGGCTGCAGTGAGCAGTGATCCTGCCACTGCGTTTCAGCCTGGGCAACTGAGTGGGACACTTTTTTTTTTTTTTTTGAGACAAGGTCTCGCTCTGTCGACCAGGCTGGAGTGAAGTGGTGCAATCTCGGCTCACTGCAACCTCCATCTCCTGGGTTCAAGTGATTCTCCTGCCTCAGCCTCCCAAGTAGCTGGGATTACAGGTGCCCGCCACCATGCCCAGCTAATTTTTCTGTTTTTAGTAGAAACGGGGTTTCACCATGTTGGCCAGGCTGGTCTTGAACTCCTGAACTCAAGTGATCCACCCGCCTCGGCCTCCCAAAGTGCTGGGATTACAGGCATGAGCCACCGCACCAGGCCATGAAACACTTTCTTCCACCCACGGCTTTCTCTTCTCTCCCCATTTACAGCAATAAGACAGCCTAACCTGGGAAAGAGAGAGAGAGGGAAGCTACTTCCAAATGGATGCCTGTCCCCATCAGTAATAACCAAGTCTATTCAAGTGCTAGATGTTAACTTTAAAAGAAGGAAACATCAAAAGTCCAAGTTTCAGCCGGGTGCAGTGGCTCATGCCTGTAATCCCAGCACTTTAGGAGGCTGAGGTGGGTGGATCACGAGGTCAGGAGTTCAAGACCAGCCTGGTCAATATGGTGAAACCCCGTCTCTACTAAAAATACAAAAATTAGTCAGGCATGGTGGCGTGTGCCTGTAGTCCCAGCTACTCGGGAGAGGCAGAAGATTCGCTTCAACCGGGGAAGCAGAGGTTGCAGTGAGCCAAGATCGTGCTACTGCACTCCAGCCTGGGTGACAGAGCGAGACTCCGTCTCAAAAAAAAAAAAAAGTCCAAGTGTCTTCGCCTAGCTTTGTCAGGAATGTTTTTACCCTCAGTCTGTAAGTGTGACCAAATATATTTTTTAAAGGTTTACCCTCTCAATCTGTTAAGTTCAAAGGTTAACTATAATCTCTTCATAAGAAAACTATTGGAAAGATGGAATAAAATACACAGAAATGTCCTTAACAGGTAAATATTTATTTTTCTTTCTTATTATTATACTTTAAGTTCTGGGGTATATGTGCAGAACGTGCAGGTTTGTTGCATAGGTACACACGTGCCATGGTGGTTTGCTGCACCCATCAACTCGTCATCTACACTAGGTATTTCTCCTAATGCTATCCCTCCCCTAGCCCCCCAACCCCCAACAGGCCCCAGTGTGTGATGTTCCCCACTCCCTGTGTCCGTGTGTTCTCACTGTTCAACTCCCACTACAGGTAAATATTTCTAGAATGTATCTACTCCATCAGCTAGTGTAAGTATTCTAAACTGTGCTAGTATAGCTGCTTTAAATCACTGCTTTCTTCTGCAAATGGTGGCACCTTTAAAGTGTTATCTTGAAGGGGAAGTGAGTGATTTGCTCATGTCTCTGCTGAACTAACACTGTTAACACCCAGTCCAGTTCTACCTTAAACAAGTCTGAGAAATACAGACATAATCCATACTTGTTATTTGTCAAGACTAAGGTAAAATAAGGAAAGTTGGAACTCACTCATATCCTCTTATGACTGATGTACTGAAAACAATCCATCTCTCACCATTTCCTAAATAGCATAGTCACAAAGAGCTCTACCCTACCAAGTACTCTGCAAGTCCCACTCTCAAAGGAAGACTCACAGGTGACTGAGAAGATAAATTTGCTATTGTTTCCATTATCCTTCAGTTCATCTGACACCTTTGAAGAAACGCATTTGGATAAGACTCACAAGTCTCAGGGCCCCTTCTTTATGAAAGAAATAGCTAAGCCTCCATACTCAGAAGCATCAGACTTTTCAGAATGCTTAAGTCATGTAAAAACGTATCAAAATTATTATCATTACAGCTACCAGGAAATAGCTACCTACTCCATGTTAGATACTGCAGTTAAGTATCTCACACAGTTTCACTGATTCCTAACAACACTGCAAAGCATGTTACTAACCCTTAAGGAGTAGGAAGCTGAAGCTCTGAGAGGCTATGCAACTACTCAATGGAAATGTGGGGATCTGAACTCTACCTAGCTCCAAAGGGCGTACTTTTTTCTAAAATTTCTAATTTTTTTCCAATTTCACAATGGAGGCAGAGTTTTCACTACAATTTTAATAATTTCACCAGCTGGGTGGGGTGGCTCACGCCTGTAATTCCAGTACTGTGGGAGGCTGAGGTGGGAGGACGGCTTGGGTCCCAGGAAGACAACTGGGCAACAGTGAAGATTCTGACTCTAAAAAAAATAAGAATTTCACCAAAAGGGGGAACAGATTTCTAAATCGGAATCTCTTGTTAAAATCCTTAGAGCACTAGTTAAGCCCCACTTCTTTTCAAAAAATAACCGACAGATTAAAAAAAAGGTTAGAAGTCCTTTTAAAGTAAATTTCATCAGAGATCTGCAAGTGAATTGTCATTTTGGACAAGTCCCCAGAGTTGGTGGCCCTCTCCTGTGTACACCAGCTACCACTAGGCAGTAAAAGTAATTTACCCAATTCAAACACATACCGTGCCTGCACTATGTTAAAACCACTGGCAAAGAGGGTACAAAGTTAAATAAGGTCTATCACAGCCCTCAAGGAGTTAAAGGACTAGAGGAGGAGTCCATTTATAGTATAGTATGTGTGCAGTTACCATGTAGTCAAGGCAAACGAACTGTGAGAAATCCTACAACAATAGTACCTACAGTATAACATGCCATCACCGCCCACAGAAGGAAAGCAACTGGTGCCCTCGTCACGTTATGTTGTTAGTACTTGCTTACATGATGTCCCTCCCTGACAATCCCTTCCAACCTCTGTCAGCCTCCTTCCCCACAATCACACACACACACAAAACCACACTGCCAGGAAGGGAAGCCATTGAGTGAGTATTGTGAATCCTACAAGTGGCTCTGTAGTTTAAAAGGGCAATGCCTGTGCCTGAAGAAAATTTGTCTTTAGCTTCATCAGGTGAAGAAAATTGGTTTTATAACACAAGGCCCACCAAACCAGAAAAGCCCAGGAACGCTTCTCCAAAGGACTCACTTAGCACGAGAAATCACTCAGAGCAAACTGACGCACACAGTATTTGTCAAATTTTTCTTTTTCATTTAGCAGAAGGTAAGGTAAAGGACTACAACTGAAGTTAATAAATGACACTCTAGCCATTTTGATCATTTGTCACTATAAATGATAGACATTTAAGCTAGTTCCATCTGGGGAAGTGAAACAGAATCATGTTCATATAATAAGCCAGACGAACCAAATTCAGTGGAATACGTGCACCCAAAACTGGACCAGACTTGTACTTAATGCAGCCTGCAAATCCCCAAGAGTCCACGACAGAATACAAGAACAGTAACACTGGTTTATCTCAACTCATCTTAGCTCCCTCACAAACTTGCCAATAATGACCTTTCAAGAACTGCACCGTTGGTCCTCATCTGGGCAATCCCGTGGCTTAGAAAAACTGAATAAAGTGCTTCTTCGAAAAATAAAACAATGCGGGGAGGGGGGAGTAGTAACAAAAAAAAAGGCACACTGGTTTTTACTGTACTGAAGCAATAAATTCTCCAACTAACTTCATTAATGAGTATCAGCAAAGAATGAACACCAAAATACCGCTCAATCCAACTTTCATCGTGAATTCTTGAATTCACAGTAGGATCATTAAATGTGACGGTATCACTCTGCTATAAAAACTATTTCCAAAACAAAACAAACCTATCTACCCCCTTTCTTGATTTAAAAAAAAAAAAAAAGAAGAAAGAAGGAAAATTTGAGGGTTTTTGCTTTTTTCAACTTCACATACCGGTTTGCCTTTGCAAAAAAAAAAAAAAAAAATGTTTAGTCTCAAAGTATAGCTGCAAGGTGGACCGGCTGCACGGGTCCCAGAGGGCCGCTCGCCTCCGACGGTCGCAGTTTCAGCCGGGCCGCGCCCGCGAGAAACAGCGGAGAGGCCCCAGCAGGCGGGCGCCGCCGGACAGGTTTACCGTCCGCGTCGGCCCCGGGGAACCGCTCCCTCGCGCCCGCAGCACTTGTTCGCGGCGCGGACTCCACACCGCGGCCGCCCGCCCCAGGGGAGGAGTGAGTCCGCCCCAGCGGCGCCAACCCGGGGACCCGGGGCAAGGGTTCGGGGCCATCCGCCGCCGGGCGCGCCCCCCATCCGGAAAGCGGCGACGGCCCCCAAGTTGGGCTGCGGAGTGGGAGGCGCGCCGAGCCCCAAGCAGACAATGCGGGAGAAGGGTGATGCGCAGGGAGGAGGGGTCCGCAAAGCTGAGGTCCCCGCGCCGCCCGGCTACCCATCCGTGCCGCCCGCCCCTGAAGCCCCGCGCAGCCCCCGACCCTCCTCTGGGGCCCGCCCCACCGAGCGGCCGCAGGGGACGGGCCGCGCTCCGCACCCCGACCCCTCCTCAAATCACAAAACTTCCCCCAACTCCGCCAACTAAGTTGCGCTCTCACCGTGCGGCTCCCGGGGCTCCCCCGCGGGCCGAGCCGAGACAGCTCCTCACCTTCGCCGCGGAGAAAGACAATAGGCTGCCTCTCCCCCGGCGGCGGCAGCAGCGGCTGCGGCTAAAGCGGCGGCAACCGAGGCGAGCAATGGGCACGGCGGTCTCGGCCGAGCCGAGGGGCTTCACCGCTGCTGTTCCGGCTCCGCGACAGCTCTGCACGTAGCCCCAGCCACCCCGCGCACCGGCTACAAGCCGCCCGGGGGTGGCCGGGGCACGCAAGAGGGCAGTAACGTCTGCGAGTCCTCCCGTGAGTACACGCGGAGCAAGGGCTGCGAGCTGGGATTGCACGGCAGAGCTGCCCATCCCGCTCCACGAGACCAATAGTAAGGCACCTGGGCGGGGCGCTCAGGTTGCTAAGGGAGGCTGAGGTTGACCGCCGGGGCTGCTCTGTGGCAAAGTGATCACAGCAGGGTGGCTGGCAGAGACTGCTCTGGGAAATGCCCACTCACGGTCTCCTCTCCGCCCTGTTTCTAGAAACTGCCCTTTCTCTGTGTGCTCGTGGTTACCTGAGCTGTAGCATTTAACCACACATCGTGAAATGATTTACTCCTCTATTTCCCCCACTTCAACTCAGGAAGTGGGGTTTAGTCTTCTGTGTCCACAGCCTAGGACAGTCTAAGGTATTAGGTATTAAATATAGGTATTAAACAAGTGTTGGATGGATGCACGGCGCTATGGCGGAATCACAATTGTGACAGTGCATTCCGTGAACTTTTGGCTACTCGATCACCACAGTCGTTCCGTGTTCAAGCTGCAAAGGACCTCAGAAATCATCGGATTGCTTTGAGAAACAAAATGTGGTCCGTGTACCAACGGCGGCCGAGGAGAATATATTAGCTGGTACACGGAGAAACTTCTTTTTTCAAATAGTTAAGTGTTTTAGTGCTCATTAGGAGGGAAATGCCTATCACGTCAAATCATTGTTTCATTAATGTTACTTCTTAGGTCAAATAAAAAGTGGCAAAAAACAAGTGTATTTCAAGAAAAGTGTTAAGTGAAACTTGAGACACTTTATATGCAGTTCAAGAATGTAAAATACTAGTTGACAGTGATTGAAGTAAGAACAGTTGGTTAGGTAGGAGGAGAAGATTATTGGCTGGGAAGGAGGAGGAGGGAACCCTCTGTGGTGCTGATTCTGTATTTTGACCTGGGTGATGGATAACAAAAGTATGTACATCAATAAAAAATACATCCAGTGCACTTTAGATTAGTGCACTTTACACATTTTATACATGTATTTTTAATGTCAATTTTTAAAAAATCTGGTATGGTATATACCCCCACAACCCCCCCCCCAAAAAAATGCAAAGATGCAAATGACTGCCATTTGGGAAACACTGATCCAGGCAGGCTCACTAGCAGTGACCAAACACCTGAGAAAGGGTATTGTGAATACCTGATGTATGTGCCAGGAACTTCCATGGTTGAATAGCTCCAAATCTCAGAAATGCTCCTAACCTAGTGTTGAGCTCTGGTGCATAGATATATTTTCTTTTCTTTCTTTCTTTTTTTTTTTTTTTTTTTTGAGGCAGAGTTTCACTCTTGTTGCCCAGGCTGGAGTGCAATGGCACGATATCAGCTCACTGCAACCTCCGCCTCCCAGGTTCAAGCGATTCTCCTGCCTCAGCTGCCCGAGTAGCTGGAATTACAGGCACATGCCACCAATTCCAGCTAATTTTTTGTATTTTTAGTAGAGACAGGGTTTCACCATGTTGGCCAGGCTGGTCTCAAACTCCTGACTTCAGGTGATCCACCCACCTCGGCCTCCCAAAGTGCTGGGATTACAGGCTTACAGGTGTGAGCCTCAGCATCCAACCCAGAATAGCTTAAAAAAAAAAAAAAGCCAGGCATGCCCAGTTCTTCATGTGAAATTATTTCTGTATCACCTCATCATGCTGCTCACCCTCTTCCACTGTTCTCTAATTTGTCCTTGTTGATATTTAAAAGCTGGCACAAGGCCGGGCGCAGTGGCTCACACCTGTAATCCCAGCACTTTGGGAGGCTGAGGAGGGTAGATCACTAGAGCCCAGGAGTTCGAGACCAGCCTGGGCTACAGGTGAAACCCCATCTGTACTAAAAGATACAAAAATTAGCCAAACGTGGTAGCCCAAATCCCAGCTACTTGGGAGACCGATGTAGAAGGATCACTTGAGCCCAGGAGGAGAGGTTGCATGAGCCAAATCAGCAGGGCAGCTGCAGAGTGGGGTGCAAGGTCCTCAACCCAGAGGTTCCCTAGGCCCCACTTGCCCCAGCTCATGAGAGCCTGGTTCTGAGCTCTGCCAGGACCGGGGCTCAGCACTGCCCATGAAAACAGGCGTGGCAGGGAAGAAAATCATAACCAAATATTTGTAGTCATTCCAGAACCTCCCTTCTGGAAAGGGAGGTTCCCAGGTTTGTGGGCTCTTTGCCTCCTGGACATTATTGTGTAGTGAAGGGAGAAAGGTTGAGATGCAGAGTTGGAGAAACTAAGAGAGGCCGAACTGGTCCATTTGAGGAAAGATGACTGATCCCAGAAGGGGAGGAGGGGACACCCTGGGGAAGCAGGGGGCTTCCCAGATGGTCCAAGAAGGGGAGGGCAGGATATAGAAAGTCAGAGCATGGTTTTGAGTTTTGGAGACAACAAGAGAAAAGAGGGAGGGATTTGGACAACTATGGAGAGGACTGGGCTGTGGAGAGAAATGTTTAGAGATTTGGAAGATGGTGTGTCATGCGATGTATTGTGAAAACCCCTTCTTCATATCCCTAAAAGACCACCGCTGATGGTGATTCATGGTACAATTGATGATTGTATCATGATATAATTCAGTGCTTTTGCAGAGGGATTGGTGCCTTTTTAAAATAATAATGATGCTTTGGCTTGGCTCCATCTGAATTAGTAGAGACAGACATCTTGAGCAGGTTTTATCAGAGTTCCATTAGCTAAATATTGGGTTTCCTATTTTGTGGCTTGCTTTAAACCACTTTGTAGGCCCTTCCGCACTGAAAGCCACTACAGAAATCACCTCTTTGGTCTGCAGCTCCACGTCCCCAAGCTCTGGGCTTTCCTGAATGAGTGGCCTCATTCAGAAGATAATACAGCATCCCTCATCCGAAAATCCAAAATCTGAAATGCTTCAAAATCCAAAACTGTTTGAGTGCCGACATGATGTTCGAAGGCCAGATTCAAAGGAAATGCTCATTGGAGCATTTTGGATTTCAGATTTTCGAATTCCAAAATCTGAAAAAAATCCAAAATCTGAAATACTTCTGTAATTTAACCTGTAATAGACATTTGGTCCTGACCTTCCAGCTGAGGCAGCAAGCAGTCAACAGAGGCTCACCATGCATCCCTCCTGCTCCTCACCCTCCCACGGGCTTGTGCCTCACCCCCCAGCCTCCCTTGCACCTGCTGGGGAGGGGACAGGATGCTCCTGCTCTGCCTTCTTGGATCTCGGGCTACTGTGATAATTGCAGGATTCCAGCCAGGGAAAATGCTACAGGTAGAAGTACTTGGTACTCTCCATAGAGAAGTTTCCAGCAATGGCACATCTGCCCCAGGAAGTGTGCTGCCACACCCAGCTAATTTTAAAAACTTTCTGTAGAGGTGTGAATTCACTATGCTGCCAAGGCTGGTCTTGAATTCCTGGCTTCAAGTAATCCTCCCACCTTTGCTTGCCAAAGTGCTGGGATTACGGCATGAACTAGAGCTCCCAGCCGAGAGTTTAGTTTTGTTTGCTAGTGGTGTTCTTGGTATCTTTTCATATTTGAGGCTTTGGTGCTAGTGCTGAAGTATTACACTCACCATCCGAGGTTTGCAGGACTTTTGTTTCAGTATTGAACAGATGGAACTGTTTAGTTCTTCATCTTTGCAGGTATACCAAATGTGCCTACAAGGAGTCTGCTTTATAGCCATTGAAAAGCAAGAAGTAATATAGTAAAATTTTGCCTGGCTAGAGGCTTTGGAAGACAAGTATTTTGGCTTAATTCTATTAATGTGGAAGGATGAAGGTGAAAAAAATTCAAAACTTTAATATCCTGTTTATTGCAATTTGAAAATATAGCCAATGATTCCACTTTTCTTCTCCAGTAAGTTTGGACATTCTGATCTACTTGGTGTTTTATTACAGAACTGCTAGTGTGCCTGAGTCTTACATTGTGAAGATCCTTCTCTAAAACTTCACATGTAAGAGAATATAAATGATATTGGATAAGATCAGGCTGGATGAGAACTGATACCTGTAAATATGCGATTTAGACGAAATCTCTGATTGTTTTCTTATTTAACTCATAAAAATAAAACACATTGGCTGGAAGGTGGGAGCAGGAAGGAGATTTATGTCTTTTAATTGCACGTCATTGTTTCATATAGAGAAAACATATAGTATCCCTGGTTTTGGACCTACAGAAGGAAACACATTTTTCTACCTGCTGTATGCCAGAGGTTCTTGAACACCTGGAGGGATTACTGCAGCACAGATTGCTGAGCCCTACTCCAGAGTTTCTGATTCATCAGGTCCAGGGTGGGGCCGGAGGATGTGTATTTATAAGAAGTTCCCAGGTGCTGCTGGAGCTGCTAGTCCAGAGACTACATTTTTGAGAACTGCTCTCATATACTAACTGTAAGTTGCAGAGCTCTAGAAAAAAAGCTTAGTTTGGTGTGGGATAAGAAGCACACAGGTTATGGAGAAAATCATGAAAGATTCAACCCTTGATCCCAGCCTAGTGTGGATTTCAGGTAACAAGCAATACACAGTGACATAACAAATTCTTGGTTTTCATGACTGCAAGTGAGAGCCAAGTATCAAGTGAGAAATTCAGCTTCATTTGCAAGGCTTAGAGAGGCCAGGTGATTCTAGAAAAATGGGCCTTGTAATTCTCTTAAACCAGTAAAGAGCTTTAAGTGGTTATTAAATTGAAAGCTTTGTGTTCTTACTTATTTTGTATTTTATTTTATTTCTTTTGAGATGGAGTCTTGCTCCCATCTCAAAAGGCTGGAGTGCAGTGGCGTGAGCTTGGCTCACTGCAACCTCCATCTCCTGGGTTCAAGTGATTCTCCTGCCTCAGCCTCCCAAATAGCTGGGATTACAGGCACCCGCAACCACGCCTGGCTAGTTTTTGTATTTTTAGTAGAGACAGGGTTTCATCATGTTGGCCAGGCTGGTCTCGAACTCCTGACCTCAGGCAATCCACCCACCTCGGCCTCCCAAAGTGATGGCATTACAGGCGTGAGCCACTGCACCCGGCCCAAAAGCTTTGTGTTTTTAAAGATATTAGACATGTTTCTTGTTTTTAAAAGAAATCTTAACAATAATGTAGGAGAATAAGACAAACATTTTTCCAAAAAAGAGAAATTGTTGTGATTATTTTGTCTTATTGGAATGTCGGATACTATAGTCGGCTTCATTAATCATCAAGCATGCTATGGATTTTCCATTTTTATAGGATCTATATCTCAGTTAAGGTAATACTGGTAATTCTTGTACTCCATTTGAAGATGAAAAATATAGGCCAAAATCACAGACTTTGCACAGAAGCTGCATAATGAAGACAGCTCTGGAGGAACACATAGATACACACACACAGACACACATATATATAAAGTATATACACATATATTTTTTAAAGTTTATTTTTTACAGTTTTAAAAGTTTTAAAGCAAAACCCAGCCCTTCCCCTCTCCCAGAGTGGGCGGCCCCTCCCCTTTCTCTGAGTGGGCGGGGACAGCGGTTGCATGGGCAGCTTTCCTTATGATGCCACAGGTCCCTCTGGACATGCTGCTGCCTGGCCACGCCTCCTTTCCCTTTCATCTTTCTCACTGACCAATGGGCTTGGAGCCTTAAGGCCACGCCCCTATTCTGCGTTCCATTGGTGCCCTGGTTACGCCACCTGTGGCTCAGTTGCACAGCTGCCTGGTAGGTGACTGGAGGCATTGAGCAGTGCTCACTGGTATTTCGCTGATGTGGCCCCAACCCCGCCTCCCTCCCCACCCTGCGATGTCAGAAAAAACACAACAGGGGAAATTGGCCGCAGCCAAGAAAAAGGTAAAACACACCAGGTCATGGCCCCCAACCCAGCCACAGATCCCCTCCGATGACAAGACCTGTGCCAGAGTCCATACCACTCCTGAGGCATACCAGATGGGGCCCCCCAACCCCAGCCCCTCTGGGCTCCCCCAACCAAAGCCTAGTCAGTCAGCCCCACCCCTTCAGCAAGCAGCCCAGTCCCTGCCCTTGCCAATCACCCCAGGGTGACTTTGGGCAGGTGACTCCTGGGGCTCCCTGCTCCATAATCAGCCCTCACCTCCTGCCACCCCAAGCCCAACCTCCCTGGGCTCTTTGGGCTTGCGTCTCCCAGGACCTGGGTCCCCCAGCCCCAGGCCCTGCCCTCACCAGTCATCCCTGGGTGGCTTTGGGCTGGTGACTCCCGGGGCTCCCTACTGCAGACTCTGCCCTCCCCTCCTGCTGCCCCAAGCTCGACCTCCCTAGGCTTCTTGGGCTGGCGTCTCTGAGGACCTGGGTCGAAACCGTGTGTTTCCCTCCCCCATCGTGGAGCAGCGACTCGGGCATCGCGCTGATGTGGTCCCCTCCCCTGGGAGGAGTGGAATGCAATGATGTCACAGTGCCCCTAGGAACTGTCATTACTGCTGCAAGACCGGCCTTTGATCTTACAACCCAGTCCCCTAAGTTTTCTCACCCCATTTCTGGTTCCTCTGGTTGCAGCACAAATTTCCAGCTGGAAGGGGAGTGGAGACTATGGGACCTAGGAGCAAGAGGTTTCAGGCTGCCTTACTCCCTTAACATAGACATTGACAGTGGGAAAAGCCTACACTTCCCCTGTGAGCTCAAAATGTTCACAGTATCTCTGGGTGGCAATGGGAGAATGGGTTTGGTTTGGTTTTTTCCCAGGCTTCTACTTTCCAGAGAGACTTTAACATTTTTTTCTGAGTTCTCCACGGTTCTGGGACCAGACTGCCCTTCAGTCAGTGGCCTCTGAAGTGAGATTTGCTCATCTTCTGTGGAATAGATCTTGGGAAACTGAACTTGACAGCTTGAATCTTCCTCATATCGTCTCAACCTGGGGTACTTTGAGTGCCACAGGATAAATGCGGGACATCTTTCTGAAGCATCATTTTCCCTTGATTCTCTTGAGAAAATGCATTAATGTACTTGGGGATGACAGACACATAGGTTTCCAAGCGTATACCAGACTTTGCTCTGAAATGAGGCTTGGGTTGTCCTCTTTCTGATAAATTCCCAGATTTAATAGAAAAGCTGCCTTCTGCCATGAGGACACATTGATATGAAAGTGTGAGAGGTACTGGTACGCTTCTTCACGCTAGCAGACCTGTGAGGATGTATGACTCTAAACCACACGGCCTACAGTTCCTGCCTGCTTAATGTGTGCTTTTCTACCTCTGCCCCTGGTTTTGGTCCCTGGAAGCTGCTGATTCATGGCAAAACCCCAGAGCGTGGAGTCAGAGGACTGAGTTTAAGTTCCAGTATTGCCTTTTTTGATCTTTCTTTTTTTTTTTTTCTATCCATGATATGAATCCCTCTCAGTCACTGATTGTGACAACACCTTGTACGGTTGTTGGTGGCATTACATCAGATGGTATATAAGGGTATTTTGTCAAAACTGTAAAGGAGGATGTGGCTGTAGGGGCTGATCATTCTCATGAGTGTTACCGCTCTTCTTTCCCACAGTTAAAAGCATATTGGCAGAGGAAGAGCCCTGGCATTCCAGCAGGAGCTAACAGGAAAAAGAAAGTCAATGGCAGTAGCCCTGACACAGCCACTTCTGGTGGTTACCACTCACCTGGGGATGTGAGTCTCGGCGGGCCAGGCTCCTGGGGACAGGGGGCCCAAGGGGCAGTAGAGGGTAATTGTTAAGATTGTAGATGGACTGTTGGGTACTGGTTAAGAATTCTGGATTTGAATCCTGCCTCTCCGTCTGCTAAGAATTGATTAGGGATTGATTAGCATATGATTTAGGGCAAGTTGCTTGAGGTCTTTGGGCCTCTCTTTTCACATCTGTATAATAGAGGTGGTATTTTTTGACTTCCATTTGTGAAGTTTAAATGAGATTCGTTATTGTTGCTTTTATGTGAATCCTTAGTACATGGCCTGCTGCAAACACCCAGGACACTGAGGAAATGGTCGTTGCTGTTTGATTTTCCTCATCCCCAGTCTCAAGGGGAAGCCAGGCCAATGAGAAGAGCCACTTGCCATCAGGCTGTCCCTTTAGGAGTCACTGAAAGGGCCCCAGGGTGGGATGGTGGGGAGATAAGAACCACGAGAGAAGTTGGCACAAAGGAGTTATGGGGAAAAGGGTCCAAGATAGGCAGAAAAGAAGCTTTTGCCAGTTGATGGGGGAAGAAAGGAAGTCAGAGGGCTTAGACAGTGAGGGGGGACAGAACATCTCCATGTGCACTCTCATCTCTTGCAGTCAGCAACAGGTATCTACGGGGAGGGCCGTGCATCCTCTACTACCCTGCAGGATCTGGAGGTAAGAGGCCCTGGGCCGAGGTGCAGTGACCCTGCAGGCCAGCCCTCCAACCTCCTCCCACAGCAGGGGCTTGTTGCCCCTCTGCCAGCTGAGGCAGCCCACACACCCCCACCAGCCCTAATGATTATTCTCTCTACCCCTCGCCACAATCTTCCTCCAACTCCTTCTCTCTGCATGCACCTCAGAGCCAGTACCAAGAACTAGCAGTGGCCCTGGATTCAAGCTCCGCAATAATCAGTCAACTCACTGAAAACATCAATTCACTGGTAAGAGTCCAGTGGGGTCCCCTGATTACAGCTGGTCAATCCTGGACTCCAGTTTCCTCTTGGGGCCCTGAAGAAAGGAGCTAGGGGCCCCTGATGCCAAGGGCAAATGGGGAGCTGGGCACCCAGGTCTCACCTGGAGGGACCCCAGAGCACAGAACATGCAGCATGGGTCTTCTGCACTGCCCTCTTTGCTGACTCTCTCTTCTCCAGACACCCCTGCTCTAGTCCTTGCCACACATGCCCTGGGGTTGTCACCTCTCTGGGAAGCACTAGCCTGACTGGTTGTCAGGGGTCCATATTTCTGCCCTGCCTCAGTCCCTAATTTGCTTTTTGAGTCTGGACAAGCCATCTCTCCTCTTTATGCTCGTGTTTCTGGAGGAGGTAGAGAGTATCAAAGGTCTTGGTTAGCTCTGAAAGTCAGAGATTTAAAGGCCCCTAGAATGGAAACCTCAGGGCCAAGGGCTCCTGTCTGTCCTTTGCTGTTTTATATCTCTGCTATGAAGAACTGTACCTGGCCTGTACATGCTCAGTAAATGTTTGTTGAATGAATGCACGTTTCTAAATCACAAACTGGCAGAAGGGGGGTGGGCCTTTCTCAAACTCTGTCTCTGGACGTTCACCAGCCCCTCCCTCCAGGGCCCTTTTCCCCCTTTGCTTTGGGCAGGTTCGCACATCTAAGGAGGAGAAGAAGCATGAGATACATCTGGTACAGAAGCTTGGGAGGAGCTTGTTCAAACTCAAAAACCAGACGGGTAAGATGGGGCTGGCATGACCTGGCAGCTGGACTGGCATTAGAGGGCTGTGGGGGTGACTTAGAATGCCCCAGGGAGGTGGGTGGATGGAAGGGCTTTGAGGCAGAGGGAAAGAGGTCTGTGCCAGGGGAGGACAAGTCTTGTCATCTCCATGAGCCTCAGTGTCCCCATCAGTAAAGAGGGAGGAGTGCCCATTGTCAGCCACCCACAGTGCTCTCTATCTGAAAGTGACTTGGAAGATTGTCTACCATCCGGGTGTGAGGAGTCATTAGCAGTGAGGCCAAGTTTGGGAAGCCTGAGAGGAGGAGCTGTGCACCAAAGGGAGGATTTTTTTTTTTTTTTTTTGAGAATCCAGAGGCCCTTATTCTCTGCTTGCTTTCTCAGCTGAACCCCTGGCCCCAGAGCCCCCAGCAGGGCCATCTAAGGTGGAGCAGCTACAAGATGAGACCAACCACCTAAGGAAGGAGCTAGAGAGTGTGGGAAGACAGCTCCAGGCTGAGGTGGAAAACAATCAGATGTTGAGTCTCCTGAACAGGAGACAGGAGGAGAGGCTACGTGAACAGGAGGAGAGGCTACATGAACAGGAGGGGAGGCTACATGAACAGGAGGAGAGGCTGTGTGAACAGGAGGAGAGGCTACGTGAACAGGAGGAGAGGCTGTGTGAACAGGAGGAGAGGCTACGTGAACAGGAGGAGAGGCTGTGTGAACAGGAGGAGAGGCTACATGAACAGGAGGAGAGGCTGTGTGAACAGGAGGAGAGGCTATGTGAACAGGAGGAGAGGCTGTGTGAACAGGAGAAGCTGCCAGGGCAGGAGAGGCTGCTGGAAGAGGTGGAGAAGCTGTTAGAACAGGAGAGGCGGCAGGAGGAGCAGGAGAGGCTGCTGGAGAGGGAGAGGCTGCTGGACGAGGTGGAGGAGCTCCTGGAGCAGGAGAGGCTTCGGCAACAGGATGAGAGGCTGTGGCAGCAGGAGACTCTGCGGGAGCTGGAGAGGCTGCGGGAGCTGGAGAGGCTGCGGGAGCTGGAGAGGATGCTGGAGCTGGGGTGGGAAGCCCTGTACGAGCAGCGGGCCGAGCCACGCAGCGGCTTCGAGGAGCTGGTGCGTTGCCCCACCTGGGGAGGCTGCCCTCTTCCCTAGCCCTCAAGGCCTTTGTTTCCCCACCTGTAAAATGGGGCATTGTAGCCTTCACATGAAATGGTACTTCTAAAGGCATCTGTGAGCCAGAGCCCCGCTCTGATGGCTGTGGGAGAGAGGGGATATTTTTCTAACCTGCCTCCACCCTTCCCGGTGCCATGGGAGGCAGACACTAAGTTCTGGGGTCTCCAGTTTTAGTGGGTGGCCACTGATTGCTTCTCTCTGTCCAGAACAACGAGAACAAGAGCACACTGCAGTTGGAGCAGCAAGTAAAGGAGCTGGAGAAGTCGGGTGAGCTGAAAGAGACTGTAACCTCCGACCCATCCAAGAAGATGTGGGAGGCGGGCACCAGCCTCTGGGGAGGGGAGGTGCCAGGCCACAGGCAGCTGCAGCCTGGGGACAGGTGACCCCAGCACCCTCCGGGGCAGTCCTATGACTGTTTCTTGCTTCCTGCCCTCTGACTTTTAGAGGTGGGTAGCCCTGGGGCCCTCCCAGGTCTGGACATCATCATCATCCCAGCTAGAGGCATGGAGCCCCCCAATCACAGAGGAAGAGACAGTGGTATAAGAGGCTCCTTATGTCGGGTGTGGTGGCTCACGCCTGCAATCCCAGCACTTTGGGAGGCTGAGGCAGGACAATCACTTGAGGTCAGGAGTTTGAGACCAACATGGCCAACATGGTGAAAGCTCATCTCTACTAAAATTAAAAATAATAATAATAATTAGCCGGGCCTGGTGGTGCATGCCTGTAATCCCAGCTACTCAGGAGGCTGAGACACGAGAATCACTTGAGCCCGGGAGATGAAGGTTGCAGTGAGCTGAGATTGCACCACTGCACTGCAGCCTGGGACACAGAGTGACACTCTCTCAAAACAAAACAAAACAGAAAAACAAAAAAGACTCCTTAGATTCAAACTGGATTCCGGCCTCGGTTCCACTGGTCATAATTCAACTACTTTGCATCTCTAAGTCTCTGTTTCTTTAACTTCAAAAGGAAGTTAGCCTTTTCCTTGCAGAGGTGCTGAGGATTAAATGAGATAATACGTGGAAACATTAGGCATGTAGCACACTTAGCAGATGGTGGTTGGCTCCGCCTGCTTTTCCACCAGTCTGTGGCCTACAGTTTACATGCTGGGAAAAAGGACGTGAGATTTGATGCTAGGGAAGGAGGCATGGGGTTCTAGGCAAGGGAGACAGTCTCTTAGGCCTGGAGCAAGGGGCCAGGGGCCTGGGCAGGCCACAGAGCCCCACAGTGTCCTCGCTACCCTATTAATGGGCCAGGAATCTGGAAGCCAGCCACCACATGTCCTCATGCCCAGGGTCTTCCGGCAGGTGGAGCTGAAGAGCCAAGAGGCTCCGAGTCTGCAGCAGCAGCCAGACCAGTACCTGGAGCCCCAGTCCCACAAGGAGCTTGGATGTGCGGACAAGCAGGGTGGTGAGTAGAGCCCTCAGGCGGGGTGGGCAGGCAGGAGCAGGGGAGGCTCGCACTGTGCCCAGATTCCCACCCCCTCCCTCTCTCTGAAGATCTTAGTGAGCTGAGCCTCACTGATAGCATGGAGGCTGCACCGGGAGAGGACAGGGAGGGTTCTCCCCCATGACAACCCCACTGCACAGCAGATCCAGCAGCTGCTTCCTCTAATGCAGGACTCCCCAGGAGCACCCAGGCTTGAGTGGAGAAGCTGTTGGTACAGGAGAGGCGGCAGGAGGAGCAGAAGAGGCTGCATGCCATTCTTTTCGGGCTGCGGAGAACAGGGAGCTAAACATCACCATCATCTAAGAGCGGGTCAAGAAATTGAAAAAAAAAAAAAAAACAAAACATTTAAGGGGTTAATATCCTACACAATTCATTTACTTCATTTGAATGTTAGAGCCACTTATGTTTATTTGTGTTTCTAATTTATAGTTTAAATTTATTTGTGTTTCTAATTTATAATTTAAATTTATTTGTGTTTCTAATTTATAGTTTAAATTTATTTGTGTTTCTAATTTATAATTTAAATTTATTTGTAAAAAGTTAAATGAGAGTGGGTCTTTCTCTCATGTTCACTCTGGCATCTTTTAGCATTTTTTTAATTTGATAATTATAGGACGTTAGCATGCATATCGAGTTTGCCCTTATGTGGTGGGAGTTCAAACACACAAAGACCCACTGTATGCACACAACTGTTCTTGCTGGTTTGGGATAGGCTGCCATGCTTTTTTAATGTTAGTACAGCCTGTATATTCATTACGGAATTCAGATAAAATTTCCTTATGTTCTGCTGTTATGTTTGATCGAATCCTAATCACAGTGAGCTCTTCATTAGCTCAATATGTGGTTTGCCCTCAAGTGCGCGGTCTATTACTTTGTAATATGCCACTGTGAGTACTGACATTTACAGTTGTTTAAAGGTGGAGCACTGGAAACAGCCTTTCCCCCTTTTTCTGTGTATTGGGGATGGGAGTAATAACATTTTGGGGAGGTTTTTAAATCTCCCAGAAGAGGAAAGTGGCCTGCTTTGGCAGGTGTGTGCAGGATAGAATATGTTTCATTTGTTCCGGTGCCAAGAATGAGCGCTGTACTACGGTAGTTCCCTTAGGATTTGTATGTGCTCTGGGCTCATGAAGATACTGCCTCATGAGCTGTGGCAGTTGTACTCTTTTTTGATGACCTGAAAAGGGATTATTTCTGAGGAATGAAAGGCTCCCATCATGACTGTGGATGTGGAAAACCTTTTCTAGCTGAGAGCATTTATATCTACAATACATTTTAAAGTCAGAGTTCATGTTCCCTGTTTTAATCACATGACTACATGTCCCAGTACACAAAAGGGCACTGGTTGGCGTTCTCCTTAATGTATTTAGTAAAGATCAGAAGAAATCCTTTAAGAGTTTAAATGCCCCTGGAACAGGCATATACAGGCTCTAGTCAAGAATGAATTCGAGTGAAGGAAAGCTGTGTGACACCTGGCATTCCTCTGTGTTCATGGAGCTTATTTGAGGCTAGAAGATGGATTTTACCATCTAGACCTCTCTGGCTAATAGCTAGTCTTCAACCATCTGACATAGGAATTTACTTCTTTTCCTTGAATGGAGAACACTTTAAAAATAATAACAAACATTATTATAAACTAATATATGTGAGAGTACTTAGTTGAAACAAAAAGGAGTTTTAGTAGACAGTATTATACTACATTTGAAAATCAAGGAGCAGTTTATGCAACGTAAAATGTTTACAAACTGCAGCGCAATCTACTGTTTGTGACTGTCAAAGTGTCATGAGGAAAGTGTCTATACAATCACAGAGTTATATTTCCTCACAAAGTTCTTTACGAAGAGTGAAATATGTTTTTATACCTCTCAGTTTCAGTTAGAGGCATATTTTGTGTAATATTTATGGCTTAAAATGGACTAAAGGTCCTGTTCTTGCCTTGTCTGAACTTGCCGCTTTTGCATTCTTTGAGTTCAGTTTAAAGACACTTACTTTAACTCCATTTTAAACCCTCGGGCTAGAAATCGTACCACTGTTAATTAGCCACGTTATTTGGTCTAACAGTTTTTGTTTATCATTCTGAAACTGAGCTTATCTAATACATTGATAAATTATTTCAAAGGTATTTTTATAGTTCAAATCGCTTCACTTTTACCCTGACACGTATAAATGACTAGGAATGACCTTCAGATAGCGTTTAGCAACTGTAACCAATCTGACAATAATGTGTTCATCAGGTACCTGTGGATTAAATCACATACTGGCATATTTAAGATGAATGTCAGTCTGAAAAATAAATATACTATATTAATTCAAATACGACTCTTTGTGTAGGTATTTTGTCATATGTTTAAGAAAAAGCTAAAGAGAATGGAAATCCTATGACAATAACTCAAGTCTTTCTTCAAAGTGCATGCAGTCTTTTGCAGTACCTCATTCAGCCAAGTATTTGTTCTCTACCTCATTCAGTATAAGGCAGCCTTTAATTTGCTTAGAAGGCAACATTAGAAGGTTAGAGTTCAGCAGGAACATAGAATTTTAAAATGTGACTTCAACTGAATAAATTTGAATTTCTGTAGGGAGTAAAGAATCAAAACACCTATTTAAAGACTGCAAAATATGATAATTATTTTTAAAGTAATTGATTAAACCTGGTAGGTTTTCCCAAAATGAAAAACAATCAGTTCTAAAACCAAAGCTGATTTTTAGAAAATGTGAAAATGTAAATCAACCCTATCCATAATAGATTCTCTAAAACTTTATCTTACAGTCACTTTCAAATAACTATTCAAAAATGTAACTGCTATATTAACGTCTTAAAATAATTTAAAACATTTTAAAATATGAATACTGTAGTTTAAAACAAAGAATCTAGGGGAAGGAAAAGTAGACAAAGAAATGCCAATTCCAGTCCAAAGCTGTATTTGCCAAGTTTTCTTAGAATGACTTTTACCGATTTATGAATTCTTATACACAGAATGCATAATGGAAATACTGATTTTTGTCTAAAGTGGCATTATTGACTGCTGCTGTGATGCTACTGTAATGTAATACATTATTAAATTGTTTCAAGGTGCTGTTTTGCCTAAAAATTTTGTGTGTCTTGAAAACTATAGTATTGGGTATTGAGACTCTGCAAATTCTCGGCATGCTTGGCATGAGGTAATCGGTTTTTATTCTTACAAAATTGTAACTATGTAAGTGTGTTTATTAAAAGAACACAAACTAAAAAAGTTAACAGAAATTAAAGTTGTGGGATGAAAAAGTTACAGGATAAAAAAATACTGTGGAAAAGTGGCAAAAAAAAGTTGTGGAAAAAAAGTAAAAAAAAAGTTTTATGAAAAGTTATTTTAAAAAGTTATGAAAAACTAGTTACAGGATTTAAAAAAAGTCATGGGATAAAAATAAAAATAAATAAAAGCAGGCCCCTGTCAGCATAAGCCTGGAGAAGTGGGTCTGGAGTCTTCACCCCCACCATGTCCCTACAACCCCTCCCCAGTCAGCCCTTTACCATTAGGGTAGCAAGACAAGACCCTTGTCTAATGGAGGGAGACAAACAGACCCTTTACCACCTTGACCAAGGCTGAGTCCTTACATTTCTGGATGATGATGTTTGTTATTTAAGAGCCAGAGGTTGGTGGAGTTGGTTTGTTTGGAGGAGGTCTGACGGCCTTCTTACTCTCACCAAAGCAACTTTTCCCTCAGGGGGGCTCCCATCTTCTTACTCAGAGAGGCAGCTGAGGCGGGACAGTGGAGTTAACTGTAGACCAGGCCAGGGCACAGGCTGCTGGGGGTGGCCCCCCTTCCCCCGTGTACATACTGTAGCTGTGTAACATTCTGTATCGTACCTAGCGGAGGTTGCAGCTGGCATATGAGGAAGAGGTTCTTATAATTATTCGCGGCTGGGAAACTTATTTATTGCTAGCATAGGAGCGAGGAAGCAGGCGGGGATGGGGTCATGGCTGCCTGGTGATGGGACTCCTGTTTTTTGTTTTTTGTTTTTTGCTTTTGATTTTGGAATAAATGGATTTAGCCATACTGCTCGGCCTGGTATGTTCCCATTTCCCTCACTGGGTCCTGCAGTTTGTCCCACTGAATGAGGAGCCCCAGAGTGTCTCAGCATGTCCAGCTGGGCTGTTGGGGACCTTCCAGGCCTGTTACCTGTATGCTGCCTGGTGACACCTGGTGGATTTCATGGGGACTGCCATGGCGCCTACGGAGTACACTCTGGCCCTGACAGCCAACTGGTTGAGAAGCCTGATCTAGCTGTGGCAGGGAAGACAGATACTAGTGCCCAAGGGCACTGACTTCCATCCACCCCAGGTGTCTTCCGTTCTGTCCCCCTGCCTCCCTCTCCTGTCTGCACCGGGTGGCCTGTCTGTCCCTCCAGAGTGCCGGCTGCCCCGCAGGTTCCCTCCAGGCTGAGTTCAGGGCCCTGTCCCCTAGTGGCCAGAGCCGGCTTCACAGGGTAAGAGCCAGCTAAGCTCCAGGGACTTTCCAGGAAAAGTGTCCCTTGAAAAGGGTGTGACCTTTTCACTGCTCCCAACAGCACCCTAAAAATGGCTTGGCCTTTTCCCTCCCCTGAGCTCCATAGAGAACACAGCCAGCAGAGGACACATTCTCTGTCATCCAGAAATGGGTTTCTCAGCCGAGGGACAGCAGGACTGGTAGAGACTGTCAGGCCACACAGCTGCCTGCACAGCACCGCCATGCTTGGCCAGAAGGGCGGGAGGGATGGCGGGGGCTGGCTGTCCACAGGCCGTGCATGTCCCGGAAGCTCACTGGAGGTGGTGCACTTTGGAGGGGCGATGTCAGGAGACAGCTTCCTCTTGCTGGGCTACAAGACTCCACAAGCACAGCACGGGGACTGATTCCCAGTGCTAGAGGCGAGGCAGTTGGCCACGTATATATATGTATATATGTGTGTGTGTGTGTGAGAGAGAGAATTTATAGCTATTTATAGAACAGGGCAGGGGCATACCACAGAGGGGGCACAAGTTTCAGCAACGGTCAAACCTGGACGTGTCAGCTCACCACTACAACAGACTAAGTCACAGAAGAAGGGGGCTGGCTTTGGGGCTGGGGGAGCCACTGTCAAGTCACAGGACACCCACCCAGGCAGGCTTGGAAAGGGAGGTCTCTGAGAAGAGGAGGAATCTGTTTAGAGGTCGAAGTGGGGCCTGGGGCTCCCTGGATGGGATGGACTTGCCTGACCCAATCAGCTGGCAGTTGGAGAGAAAGCAGAGAGAAAACGGGTTAGAGAAAAGCCAGAGCTGGTGAGGCAAGTGCAGAGTATGGGTGCGCTGCAGCAGCTGTGGAGGGCCGGGGAGGGGAGGGCGTAGGTGTGGGCATGGCAAGGTTCCTGGAAAAGAGGGGCTGGAAGGGAAAGGGGAGGAAGATGGAGGGAGAAGCCGGAGCTTCATAGGTAGTGCCTGGGGACTGCGGCGGCCCTCCCCACCCCACACACGCTGGCCTCTTTCATGGCACCCAGGCAGTCCACCCATAGTTCAGATGAATGCTCAGCCCCCTCGGGCTTCTCTCTTCTCTGGTCACCCTGTCTTCCAACTCACGGCCCAGGGCCACCTCTTGCTTGGAGAGCCCCATCCAACAGCCACCAGACCTGATAGAGAAGGAACACTGATTGAACCAAAATGGTGGAGCTATACGGGATGGCTGGCTGGAGTGAATGCCAGAGGCCCCTCTGGGCCATCAGAAAGCCCAGGGTCCTCTGAGGGACCCTGGGGAAGGCAGGGAGGGCAGGTAGCCAGATGCCATTGGCCATAGACTTCTAAGTCTAACAGGGCAGCCTCAACTGGTTGGCGGGGGGCTGCAGGTTACATAGGTGAGGCTGGGCCCTTCCTGCTGGGAAAAGCAGAAGAGGGAGACTCCGCGGCAGGAAAGGGAAGTGAGCTCTCTAGGTGGAGCTCAGCTGGGCCAGCAGCACTATTGGCTGAATATCACAGGCGACCCCTAGAAGCAACAGGCCAAGGTGCGTGAGCCTGCTGGCCAGCAGTAGTGCTTCAGCAGGGGCCAGGGACCCTGCCTTCAGTCGCACGCTAGCAGCTATCATGGTACCTGGGAGGGAGGGAAGGGGGCTGTGTGTCCTTCCATGGCCTATGAAGTGTGTTGTGGGATGACCGCGTGTATAGGACTCTCAGGCTTTTATCCTAGATCACCACTGGATTGCTGACAGATAGAGGACGTGGGACCGTGACTATCACCCCTAATCTGCAGTGGATTTGGCTCTTGGCACTCCCAGGCTGGGAGCTGGATACCTGCCCTGGCAGCATGACTCAGACTGCATGACAGGTACGGCGTGCCCAGGATGATGTGCCCAGGCCTCTGGCCGCCTGAGTCCAGCCCCCCACACAACCCCCTCCAAGCTCCCAGCCCCTACACCATAAACCATGAGCTCTGTGCCCTCTCTGATGGTTCCACATCTGCCACCTTGGGCATGGAGCCTGTTGTAAGAGCCCCCAGGCTCAGCCATGGAGACCTTCAGCAGTGGCACTGAGTCCCGTGGCTCACAGGGAGCAAAGTGAGACAGCCAGCAGCACAAGGACAGAAAGAGGAAAGAGCAAGTCTGCAGCTCTAGAAGGGAGGGGCAGGGAGCCTGGCTCTGAGGCTCCAGGTATGCCCCCTGTGTGGAGCTGGGGCAGCGGGGCAGGCAGACCATTCATGCAGCAGGCAGTGAGGCATGTACCTACCATGGCTGACGCTCCTCAGGGGCCACTGATAGTGATTCTGAAAGACAGCATCAAATCACATGGCAGGTCACATGCATGGGTGGGGCAGGCCTGGGGGTGGGGGACACACGCACATGCCGGAGTGTGCACACACATGCTGTGAGGCCCCACGGCCCACATGCACACGCTAACACACATGCCCACAAACAACACGCATACGTCGCCCTCCCCGCCACCTCCCAATGCCCAGCACCCTCACCGGCCGGCACGTGCCACATGGATCTGGGGCGTGCAGCCACACGGCACACTGAAGCACATGGGTGGGCAGAGTCACAACACAGATGCTCACCCGCACACAGAGGCATTTGCACCAGCTCCCTGCACACTCGTGCCTGGCATGCTCAGAGGACCACCCATGCTGCTCACGGAGACAGGGCTTGCTCACTAATGTCCGGCTGTCATTTCTCCACCTCAGAGCCTTCCATGGCTCCCTACTGCCTACAGCGTTGAATCCCAACAAGTCATACTCTTTGGACTTTGAAGGTTCTCCACCCTGTGCCCCACCCTCCCCACAGAGCTCTTCCTCATTCTGTCTCTGTTCCCTGCTTTGGCCAGTGGCTATCCGCGATGTGACCCACACTACACCTCTGCCCACACTGCAGCTCTTTACCCAGTTGCCCTCCAGTTCCTCACCACGTATGCCTATCTCAGTCATGCCCCAGACTGCATTGAAGCCAGGCTGCCTTGAAGAAGCTCTCCCAGACTGCCCTTTTCCCCAAGGCAGGGTCATGATTTACCAAAGGTTTCGTGTGTGTTAGCAAGACTGGAGTCGGAGCAGGCATCAAACTTTACATCCCATATGTCACACCTCACCATAGATCTGGGTGCCAAATAGCCTGAAGAGTCTGAACTCACGCTGGAAGTTAGCAAAGTGCTCCTACAGCCGCATCTGCAGTTAACATAGTATCCCTATGGCCACTGTCTCCCTTGATCCCCACAGCCATCCTAGGAGAAAGGCAGAACGTCATTTGCTAGAAGGGATGCTGAGGCTCTGGGAGGGAAAGGGACTTGCCTAAAGCCCCAGGGTGAAGCAGCATCTCTGGACTCTCATAGACAGCCTAGAGCTGCCAGCATTCCCTTAGGATCTGTGCCCTCGGGCCTGGCTTAATTTTTTCCTCTGCAAAGAGCCATCTGTAGGGCCAGAGGCTGGCAAAGCCTGACTCATTACTGGACGCCAGTTCCTTTGCCTGACTTTCAGTGATTTCTACCTTACCCTGGGGTTTTATGTTGCTTGTCTCAACACTGTCACTTCTCATTCCTCCACAAGTTGAATTGCTCACTCCAGCCACTTGAAGCATGCTCTTCTTAACACAGTTAGCTCTAGGCACATGGTTGGTGCTAAAAAGGAAAAAAAAAAGAAGAGCATTATGTCAATTTCATTGATTAACAAAAGCGATGGCTCCACTGCAAAGCAAAGTTGATACTCCTGGGCCTCTGAGTTCAAGAGCCTTTTAGACAAATGGCTCTGAGCTAAAACATGATCATGCATGCATATGCATCTGTCTTGGTCTGATGAGATAATCTGGATACTTGCTTGTTATCCTTGAGCATTTTCCTGCCTCATTAATGTATGTGTAGCCACCACAATAATAATCATAGCTAATAATGGCTACAGCTGAGGGCTTTCCTGAACCAGGCAGTGGTTTTAAAAACTTTAACCCCTAAAGCTGAGGACTTTCCTAAGCTAGATAGTGGCTTTGAAAACTTTAAAGTTTTCACATAGACTGTCATTGAATAATTTCTGTTTTTCAGATCAAGAAACTGAGACTTACTATCATATTTGGGATTAAGCTAAAAAAAAAAAAAAAAAAAGAAAAGAAACAGAGGCTGAACGCTGTCAAGTATTTCACAGCCAGCAGGAAATCGGAACTTGAACCCAGGCAGTCTAGCCCTGGGATCCTTTCCCCTTACCCATTATCCAGTGTTGGCTACACAAAACTAATGAGTACATATTTTCAACTATAGTTTAAGTGGGTGACATATTTTTCACTATATTTTATGTAGGTGACTTTCAGTTTGGGGGTATTCTACTTACACAATCTATTGAGCTGGATATTAACTGAGAGCAAACAGAAACTAATGAACTCTGAAAAACATAAAACATGAGCAACATGACGTCACTGCAAGAGACAAAACAGCACATAGCCTTCTTGTGACTGTATTTTGCTGACAGTCCATGAGCTGATAGCCTGAACTCAGCAGTGCTGTTCCCTTGGGAGACACACACACACACACACACACACACACACACACACACACACACACACACACGAGTTGGTGGTTTTCTGCCCCCCACCCCCACCCCAACACACACACGAGTTGGTGGTTGTGCTGCCCGGAGCCTCCAGTCCGCGAGTGTGAAGAACGGACCAGATGGGTCCAGCAGTGCTGGGTCAAGGCGAGGAGGGGCAGCCGGAAGCGCGCGCATGCTCTGGACTCCTGCAGCCGCCGAAACGGGTGCGCAGGGGGCGCGCGGGTTGAGGGGTGAGGGGCGACGGGTGTGAGGGGCGAGAGGGACGGGAGCGGGGTAGGGGCAGCCCTTTCCCAGGCGGTAGCGGGGACTGTGGTGCTGTTGCCCTTTTAAGCTGCGGCTTGACAGGAGCAGCGTCTCCTGTCGGTGGAGTCTGTTACAAGGGGAGCAGCCGCCCAGGCCGCCACACAGCTCCCCGCAGAGGCCTCGGTGCCCCTTGCCATTTTCCAGCCCTACTCCGAATAGAGTTGAGGCATCAGGGAGAGGCGGAGCTGGGAGAGCGCCGCCGAGAGGTCCCGCGGGTGGTTGCGGCCGTGACAGCGGCTCCCGACGGGCTCACCTTCCGCGCCCCTCCCGCCAGAGGTGAGAGTAAAATGTCCGTGTGAGGGTTCAAGGCCAAGCTGAGGTTGTTGGCCTCTATCTTCCACAAGAACCAGGAGCCCCCGCCGCAGCTCACGCTCCACTGCAACATCACGGTGAGGCGCCCAGTGGCGGCCTCACGGGGCAGGGCGAGGGCGGAGAGGAGGCGCCCAGAGTCCCGAGACAAAGGGGAGCCTGCCCGGGAGAGGCCCCGGTTCCCCAGGCGGGGCGAGCGCGCCCCTTTCTCCCGCGTCTGGCCCGCCCCGCTGTGTGAGGCTTGCGTGGGAGGAGGGGGAGGGCGCGTCTCTCTGGCTCCTTGCCGCGGGGCTGGCTTGGGGGCTGCCGGCACCTCTCGCCCCAGTCGCTGCGCCCTGAGGTGGGAGCCCGCGTCGCCCGCAGACCTTTTGGGGCCCATGATCGCCCTCAGTCAGCTAGCCTGCTCCCCTGGACCGCGACGGGGCGTGGCAGGGCGGCTCCCGCTGTTGTTTGAGCCCAGTGAGGGAAGGGGAAAGGCCTTTAAGATTTTCGGTTTTTTGGCCGGGCGCAGTGCTCATTCCTGTAATCCCAGCACTATGGGAGACTGAGGCAGCTGGATCTCCTGAGGTCAGGAGTTCTAGACCAGCCTGGCCAACATGGTAAAACCCTGTCTCTACTAAAAATACAAAAATTAGCCGGGCATGGTGGCAGGCGCTTCTTGAGATGGAGTCTCACTCTGTCGCCCAGGCTGGAGTGCAGTGGAGCGATCTCGGCATACTGCAGCCTCCATCTCTTGACAGTCTGTGGGTTCAAGCGATTCTCCTGCCTCAGCCTCCCGAGTAGCTGGGATTACGGGCGCCCGCCACCACGCCTGGCTAAGTTTTGTGTTGTTTAGTAGAGATGGGGTTTCATCATGTTGGCCAGGCTGGTCTCGAACTCCTGACCTCAAATGACCCATCTCTGCCTCCCAGAGTTCTGGGATTACAGGCCTGAGCCACCGCGCCCAGATCCAAGGCCCTTAAGCTTAAATGCCTCGTTCTTCAGTCAGGTTTTCCTTGTTCCCGCATGTTCAGCCAATCGTGTTTAAGGAGAAACTAACAATGAAAACGGACTCGTTGATGGAGGAAAAGTTGGAATGCAGCCTCTGGTGCTGTTTGAGCGATCCCTCTACCCCGGGTCGCTGCTGTGTTCTGGAAAGGCGCATTGTACCCTGGATGCAGCAGGTAAGAGTCCTGTCCAGGTGCTCTGCCCGCTTTTCCTTTCAGGCTTCTGTATCAGCTGTTTTTCCCCTGTAGAATGTGCCCCTGACAGCCACCCCCTAACCCTACCCAATTTGTCTTTACGTGTCTGACCATCAAGGCTCTTCTGGGTCATATTTAATTCATGCTGATATTTCCCCTTCCTCCCCTCTTTAGTCCTCACTATTTTTGCTTTGGTCATGTTATGCTATATTCTGTAAGGCTTTAAAAAAATTTTTATGGTGGCAGGGGAGAATGTTTTATAATTATGCTTTGTGCTTTTTATCTTCCACTCAATAAATGCTTGGTAAATATTTGTTTTATTGAATGTATGACCCTATTCTAGCTATATTGTGCTTGAACAAAAACCTTAACTGCCTAGTAAGTTAACTGCTAAGAATTTGTCAGAAGTGCAGACATAACATCAAGAACTTGTCATGGATAGTACAAAAACGTCTCTTAAGGGCTTGGTGGAAGCCTGTAAATTGACTTCCTATGAAAGAGAGTGTAAGAAGTGAAAATGTAAAGCATGACTGGAGAGCCAGAGTGATGAAGCCAGGGTCCCTTTCTCCAGATCCTTTGTAACAGTGTTATGTGATCTCTTCTAGAAGATCGTTCTGAAAGATAATGCTAACTCGGAACCTAGGAAACCATCCAGTGGGTTTCTGCAGCTTAGGTGTTTCAAATCCTCATCAGCACGTTTGTTTTCTCTGCCTCAGTTTGCTTACAATGATGTTCTCAGTAGCTACAATTGCTGTCTTTGAATACGTAAGCATTTTTTTTTAGGTGACAGGGATATATGTGCATTTTTATTTTACCAAGTGTTAGAATTTTGACTCTGCTTTTGTGGGCTCTGGGTTAGCTACTTGGTTGTTGTAAAATGATTAGCAGGGAAAGCTGTGTGTGTGTGTGTGTAAGTTTTTGTTGTCAGAGGACTTAGAATTTTATTTTATATGGTAATTCTGTCAATTTACTTTATTCTCCACCCCACATTTATTGAACAGCAAATTATGAAAGTAATGTGTCCCATAAGCAGCCTTCAGAAGAATTACAACTGCTGTATATCTGAAATTCTTTTTTTTATTTTTTATTTTGAGATGGAGTCTCACTCTATCACCCAAGCTGGAGTACACTGGTGCAATCTTGGCTCACTGGAACCTCTGCTGCCCAGGTTCAAGCAATTCTCCTGCCTCAGCCTCCTGAGTAGCTGGGATTACAGGCACCTGCCACCGCACCTGGCTAATTTTTGTAGCTTTAGTAGAGACAGGTTTCACCATGTTGGCCAGGCTGGTCTTGAATTCCTGACCTCGTGATCTGCCTGCCTCAGCCTCCCAAAGTGCTGGGATTACAGGTGTGAGCTACCGCACCTGGCTGAACTTTCAAGAAGAAGTTTGTGCATCAGTTTTCAAAAAATTATGATATCAAAAGATAGCTGTGCCCTACATTTGGAAAGATACAAAAACTGAACATACTGGCAGGCAGTTTTGCTTGCTGGTGCTTGAGATAGAGGCACACATTGGTCTCAGTGGAATTATGGAGAAAAATAGATAAAGTTATTTCTAAATAAGACCAAAAAATCCTTTTCTTAAGCAGTGACAGGTAAAGAGGTTGTCTTGACTAACCTTGAATTGTGTTGCCCTTGATTGAGACAGTTTTATGGTGGGATGGTAGTGGTGATAAACTTGCTGGAAATTTGTCTGCTTATAGTAACCTTTGTGGTAGCTGTCACAGACAACTTCATCCTCACAGGCCTTGAAATTAGTATAAAACTAACAGAATGGAGGAGAAACAAAGGACCTGAATAATTAGATGCTTAGATAATTGTTCCGTGTTTTCATAACTGGTGAAAAAGAGCAGTATTAGAAGCACTTACACATTCTATAGAAGGAACACTGCCTGAATTTATATTGCGATTTTTGAGCACCATTAACTGTATAAAAACAGGCATATTGTAGGTAATATTTTAAAGACAAACAGAAAATTTATCTTTTCAAGATGGATCTAAAACTTATCAAAATTACAAAATTTAAAACGTGATTGAAAAATATTAATGCATAGGTTTAAATATTGGTCATTTTAAATGTCTTTCAAAATAGATTGTCTCTTAAATATTCAACTGAACAAACTTTGAACATGTTGTAGAGTTTGTGCCGAAGGTTAAATTTCCTGGGGTGATGGATATTTTGTAATATGGAAAACAAAACCTTCTTATTTTAAGAAATTTAGAAAACTTTTAGGCAAAACTAGAAAATATTACCTATGTAATTCTACCACTCAGAAGGTGCCACTGTCAGAAATTTGTATCTTTCCAGTCATCTGCTCACCTCTTTTCTCCTGTGCTTATATATGTTTCCTCTCCCTTAAAAATCAGATATTTGTTTGTAATCTGCTTTTTCACTCAACAGTATTGTAGATCCATGTTATAACTTACTCCTCTACATTGCCTTCAGTTATTGTGTGCTTTCTGTTGGATGACTTTACCATGTAGTCAGTCATGTTTTCTGGTACTGAATACATACGGGTATGTGTGTGTGTGTGCGTGCGCGTGTGTGCGTATTTTTTTGTAACTTAACTAATGCTTTAGACATCAGTAGGTAGACGTAAATCCTTGAAACCTTCCACGTGGTGACTTTCAGTTCTCATTGCTGAATTTGTTTCCAGAGATGGAAGAAATTATATTGTATGGGAACTTTTTTTTTCTTTTTTTTTTTTCTTTTTTGAGATGAAGTCTTGTTCTTGTCACCCAGGCTGGAGTGCAATGGCGTGATCTCACTGCAACCTCCACCTCCTGGGTTCAAGCAATTCTCCTGCCTCAGCCTCCCGAGTAGCTGAGATTACAGGCGCATGCCACCATGCCTGGCTAATTTTTGTATTTTTAGTAGAAACGGAGTTTCACCATGTTGGCCAGGCTGGTCTTGAACTCCTGACCTCAGGTGATTTGCCCACTTCAGCCTCCCAAAGTGTTGGGAATACAGGTGTGAGCCACTGTGCCCAGCCTTTTTTTCATCTCAGTACCAGCTTTTATTTATCAGATTGGTAAAAATGTTAGAAAGTGTGCAATGAAATGGGCATTCTTACAGTCATGGCAAAAAATATAATTATCTTTGACTTTCTAGAAAGTAGTTTGGCTTTCTAGAAACTTGTTTGAATTCTCCCTGTTTAGGCAGGATGAATTCTCACTACCCCAAGGTGGCCAACCTTGTCCCTGTGATTCCATCTCTCCCAGAAAGAGAGGTCTAGTCTCAGGGAAAACCCAGATTTGTTTGGCTTAGCCCATCTGACAGCTAATCACTGGAAATGGGGTGGGCTGGTAGAATGCTTTGGTCAGGTTTTGTGTTGAGAGAGAGGTGGAAAGATGGGAGGGAGGTAGCAAAACTTGCCTCAGTGGAACTATGTAAGTTAATATAGAATGGCAAAGGGATGTTTCTTCCAAGGAAGAAATTCTAGAGAAGGAAGAAAGTGGAGGGGAAGGCAGCAGTTCTCCAAGTTTTGGGGTCAGGATTCCTTTACACTCTTAAAAATACATTGAGGTCCCAAGGAGCTTTGGTTTATGTAGGGTATATCTATTGGTATTTATCACTAGAAATTAAATCAGAAATATTTAAAGTATTGTTTAAAAGCTCACCACATATTGTTATAAATGCTTTTATGAAAAGAAAATTTCTAAACCCAAAGTAGTACAGTCTTACATCTTTTGCAAATTATTTTGATGTTTGATATGTCATTTGCATGATGTTTGATATGTCATTAGCAAATTGATATGTCAGTTTGCTTCTGCATTCAATTTATTGTGTGATATTTTCTTGAAAAAATGTGAACAAAGGCCAATCTCATACAGATAACCATTTTAGATCATTGTGGATATATATATTTTTTTGAGATGAGGTCTTGCCCTGTTGCCCAGGCTGGAAGGTAGTGGTGTGATCACAGCTCACTGCAGCCTCAGTCTCCAGGGACTAAGGTGATCCTCCCACCTCAGCCTCCAGAGTAGCTGGGACTACAGGTGTGTACCACCACACTTGGCTAACTTTTTGTATTTTTTGTAGAGACAGGGTTTTGCCATGTTGCCTAGGCTTCTTTTTTGATACTCCATCAAATCTTGGTTTTTCTTGAACTTTGGATCTTCCACCCTTGCATGATATTACAACATCGTGCATTGGTCACTTATAAAACAGTGGTTCACTAAGATCTTCTACATGTTGATACATTTGTACAGTATCAAAATACATTCATCAGTACCACCATCAATCTCATCAGAATACTTTTGGAAAGCGATGGTGGGCATAAGTTTTCTAAAATTCTAATTTTTTGTTCAAAAGCTTGAATTTTATTAGTAATTTTGTTATTGAATTTTATTATAGCCTGTCTGTTGTTTTCCTTGAAATGACAGAATCTCATGTTTTGAGAAAATATCTGCCAGAAATGCGAGTTAAAATAACATTTTTTGTCAGTCAGCCTTTCAAGTAAAAATGGTATTCCATTAAAGTGGTTAATTCACTTCATGACTTAGTCACTCAAGGGTTTTTCCTCAGGCAGCCTGTAGGAATGCTCATGTATACTTCCCATTTCATCACTTGAAATATTAAAAAGATATATTCAATGATTTAGATATAGTAAAATATTCACTGCTTCATCATAGACATTCTTTTTTTTTTTTTTTAATTTTCGAGACAGGGCCTTGTTCTGTCACCCAGGCTGGAGTGCAGTAGCGTGATCACAGCTCACTGCAGCCTCAACTTTCTGGGTTCAGTCAATCCTCCTGCCTCAGCCTTCCAAGACGCTGGGACTACAGGCATGCAGCCACTGTGTTCAGCTAATTTTTGTATTTTTTGTAAAGATGAGGTTTCACCAGGTTGCCCAGGCAGGTCTTGAACTCCCGGGCTCAAGGGATCCCCCTGCCTGGGCCTTCCAAAGTGCTGGAATTACAGACATGAGCCAAAATTCCCAAACTTATCATAGACATTCTTAAATGAAACTGACCTTTTGTTGCCCTTCTTTTTTATTTTTATTTTTGGAGATGGAGTTTTGCTCTGTTGCCCAGTCTGGAGTTACATAGGTGCAATTTCAGCTCAAGGCAACCTCTGCCTCCCAGGTTCAAGTGATTCTCCTGCCTCAGCCTCCTAAGTATTTGGTAATACAGGCATGCACCACCACACCGAGCTAATTTTTGTATTTTTAGTAGAGATGGGGTTTCACCATGTTGGCCAAGCTCGTCTCAAACTCCTGACCTTAAGTGATCCGTCTACCTCAGCCTCCCGAAGCACTGGGATTACTGGTGTAGGCCACCATGTCCCACCCACCCTTCCTTTTTAAACCTTTCCTGTGCATAATGAAGAATACCATGACTACTAGTAGTTTGGTGTTACTGCTTTTGTTTGTGCTAAAGTACCAGCATTTTTACCCACCATTGTATTTGCACACTTACAGCAAATGTCACCATGTTAGTATTCCTGTCAAAATAGTTTGGACTTGGGGGTCTGAGGGCCGCACTTTGGGAACCATTGAAATAGGTACTTAGACGTACTAGATATCATATCTTTTCATCTACAAGGTTTTTAAAAACTTGATTTCAGTTAATTTTTTTTTGTAATTTTTAAAATATGGTTTTGAGGGGTTTCAGTCCAGAGCAACAACACGTATTTTATTTTGCTTATGCTGAAGTTTACTAGAAAATACTAACCTAACAGAATGAAGTCCTAAATCTAATTGAAATTTCCTTAGCCAAAAGTAAAAAAAAACGAAAATTAAAAGTGTAAAAATAGTCCATATGGTGTATTCTCAGTGTATGCTGAAGAATTTATAGAAGAAAATGCAATACTGAGGAACTGGTGTTCTTTAAGAATAGGGTTGGCTGGGCGCAGTGGCTCATGCCTGTAATCCCAACACTTTGGGAGGCCGAGGTGGGTGGATCATCTGAGATTAGGGGTTCGAGACCAGCCTGACCAACATAGAGAAACACCGTCTCTACTAAAAATACAAAATTAGTGGGGCATGATGGCACATGCCTGTAATCCCAGCTACTCAGGAAGGCTGAGGCAGGAGAATTGCTTGAACCTGGGAGGTGGAGGTTGTGATGAGCTGAGATCGTGCCACTGCGCTCCAGCCTGGGCAACAAGAGCGAAACTCGGTCTCAAAAAAGAAAAAAAAGAATAGGAGTAATTCTGAAGAGTTTCTTTTAGCCTGTAAAGAGATTTGGAACACAGTAAGAGAGGAATGAGAAGAATGAGAATAGTAAAATAAACCATTATTGAAGAGATATACTGTTAATGATGTCCTCCATCAATACAACTTGTTTTTCTTTTTGTTTGTTTGTTTTTTGAGATGGAGTCTTGCTCTATCGCCAGCCTGGAGTGCAGTGGACATCTCGGCCCACTGAAACCTCTGCCTCCTGGGTTCAAGTGATTCCCCTGCCTCAGCCTCCTGAGTAGCTGGGACTACAGGCACCCGCCAGCGCGCCCAGCTAATTTTTTTGTATTTTTTTAGTAGAGATGGGGTTTCTCCGTGTTAGCCAGGACGGTCTCGATCTCCTGACCTCGTGATCCGCCCACCTCGGCCTCCCAAAGTGCTGAGATTAGAGGCGCGAGCCACCGTGCCCAGCCCATCTTGCTTTTCTTAAAAAGGAACCTTCAGTAAATATTTGGTTTCTGTGGCTTCAGCTTTAACTCAGATTACAGTTTTCAAAGCAGTGTTGCCTAAAGTTGTTTGTGCAAAATTGTTTTCTGTGACTTGAACCTAGTTATTCTGAAACTAATATATAATAATAATGGTTTTTCCCCAATTTATAATAGAGAACAGTACAAAGTAACAGCGGGAACGTCTGTTAGTGGGTGAAAGCACATAATGCATAGTTCATTAGCTTTTTTAAAAAATCACATGTAATTGTGTTACAAAAATATATGTATAGTAATGGCATTTACTTGGTATTACTTGGTTTGTGTGATAGAATAAAATATTAGAATTTTATGGTGTTTGAGTTAGTTATCTATTGCTCTGTAACAAATTGAGCAGCTTAAAATAACAAACATTATCTCAGTTTCTGTGGGTCAGGATTCTGTCCAGTTTACCTTGGGTTCACTGGCTTGGCCTCTCACCAGGCAGTGAAGGTGTTGGTGGTGGCTGTGATCATCCCAAGGCAGGATAGGGAGAGAATCTGTCTCCAAGCTCAGGTTGGCAGGATTCATCTCAGAGGCTGCTGGACTGGGCCTCCGTTTCTAGATGGCTATTGGTCAGAGGCTTTTTACAATACCTTGTCACGTGGGCCTCTCCATAGGGCACCTCATCACATGGCAACTGGCTTCCATCAGAGGGAGCAATGGAAAGAGCAGGAGAAGGGTGACCAAGGCAGGCATCGTAGTCTCCTTGTAGCCTCACCTCAGAAGCGATGTTACTTTTGCTGTATTCTCTTTGTTAGAAGTGAGTCACTAGGTCCAGGGGTGGAATTTTACAAGGGTGTGAATGGCAGGAGGTGAGGGTGATCAGGGCCATTTAGAGGCTGCCTACCAGTGTTGAAGAAAATTGTTGACTTCTATGAGCTGTAGCAGCAGACAGTGCTATGCAAGGAGAATGGCTGTCTCAGAAGTCCAGCTCCTCACATGGGTTTAAACGTGTTGCCTTTTCCCCCATACATTTTGTTTAAATCCATGGTCATCTTGCCATTTAGTGGTGTGGTTTAATTGCATATTTGGGTTAGTCTGTATGTAAACATTTAACATAGGTGTCTCTGGGTTAAACAGGAATCCTATTCATCTTCTTCACCGATATGGTTTGTGGACTCTGATGAGCCAAATCTGACATCAGTTCTGGAACGTCTAGAAGATACTAAGGACAACAGTTCGGTAAGGAAAGAAACCAAGCTATTTTCTCTTTTCCTCATGAACATTATATTTAGAAATTAAATGTTAAATGATAATATTATATAAAAACATGATTAATAACTATAATCTTAGAGGAATTAAAGTCTGGGTATTTTAAGTCCTCCAAATCTTATTTACTACCTGGTTTCTCTTTATTATTTCCCACATGTATAATCTTAGTTTAGATTAGCAATTCGGGATCTCTTTTTCCCTGAATTCTAACCATTAAGCCAAGCAAGCATTTTGGGTGGAGACCACTAGCCAAGGTGGGAAGTAGAAAGAAGACCAAGGTGGAAGTGAAGGGAGAGATGGGGAGAATGACACCAGAACTAGTGGGAGGGAATTGCCTTTTCTTTCAAGGGTCTGTAAGTCTGCAGTAAAAGTCAAAGGTATTCAAATAGGAAGTTTTGTTTTTGTCTTTAGTATATAAAGAAGCATAACTTTCCATTTTGCAAAAACTTTAGAAATCTTTTTTCTTGATTATAAAACTTACAAGCAACCATTATTGAGAAGATTAGTAAAATATAAAAAAATAAAAATCTCACATAATTTCTCTACCTAATATAAGTACTGTTGACATGATAGCTAGTTTCTATCAGTATGTATTGCTTCTTTGTTATCAAAGTACTTATACCCTTACAGATATGTTTAAATAGTTGAGGTCATATTCTATAAATATCTATAAATAGCTGGGTGCTGTGGCTCACACCTGTAATCCCAGCACTTTGGGAGGCCGAGGCAGGCAGATCACAAGGTCAGGAGTTTGAGACCAGCCTGGCCAATATGGTGAAACCTCATCTCTACTAAAAATACAAAAATTAGCCCGGTGTGGTGGCAGGTGACTGTAGTCCCAGCTACTCGGCAGGCTGAGGCAGGAGAATTGCTTGAACCCAGGAGGCAGAGGTTTCAGTGAGTCGAGATCGCACCACTGAGGTCCAGCCTGGGTGGCAGAGCAAGACTCCATCTAAATAAATAAATTATGTATACACACACATACACACACCCTCATATATATATACACACATATGTGTGTGTATATACACACACACACACACACACACACACACATACACCTACACATGACCGATTGCCTCGCCTCTAGCATTGGGAATCAGTCACCGTGCTGTCCTTGTGGAGTCTTGTGGCCCAACAAGAGGAAGCTCTCCCCTGACATTGCCCCTCCAAAGTGCGCCACTTCCAGTGCGCCCCACTGTCATGCCCGGCCTGTGGACAGCCAGACCCTGCCATCCCTCCCACCCCCGACCAAGCATGGGGGTGCTCTGTAGGTAGCTGTGTGGCCTGACAGTCTCTACCAGTCCTGCTGTCCCTCAGCTGAGAATCAAACCCATTTCTGGATGACAGGGAATGTGTCTTCTGCTGGCTGTGTTCTCTGTGGAGCTCAGGGGAGGGAAAAGGCCAAGCTATTTCTAGGGTGCTGTCAGGACCGATGAAAAGGTCACACCCTTTCCAAGAGACACTTTTCCTGGAAAGCCCCTGGAGCTTAGCTGGCTCTTATCCTGTGATAAGCCAGAGGCTCTGGGGGGTGAGGGAGCAGAAAACCTCCTCACCCCAGCCAACGGGGACCTGTATACCTCTGCCAGTCTCTCACTTGGCCTTGCTGCTGTCCTCTGAGACTGCCTGTTCCTCCCTCTCTGTGACTCTACACCACCATCACCTCCTCCAGGAAGTCCTCTGGATTGACTCCTAGCTTATTACATCTTTATTGTGCAGACCCTCTCCATTCAAAGCCCCTCTTCAACTGCCCCCCCCCCCACTACCTCCAAGACAGAGATTCTGGGTTCTTGCAACTGCAGCCCCTCAGAGAGTGTAAGAGGGGCAGAAAAAGGAGATCAGGAGGTGAGGGAAGCAGCGCTGTCAGAGTTTCCAAAGCCCCGGCCAGCAAGGCCTCAGAGGCCTCTGTTGGAGTGGGGGCCTCCCTGGCTATGCGCTCCAGCTGCACAAGGCAGCCTCTGTGAGCCTCTCCCACTCAGCCCTACAGGAAGCAGCAGGGCCCAGCCTCAATGGACCCATTCAGACCCCAGCGCTCCGGAAAGTACCTCTGCTTCCTGCCACCATTCCACTCTGGCCAAACAGGCTCTACTCTCTTCTGATGGGAGGAGGCCGCAGGCAGGTGGTTCAGTGGTTAGGGCCAACCATCTACTTCAGTTCCTGTCTGGCCCAGATCTCTGACCTTGACCATGCCCTAGTGGGTGTATGTATACCTTTAGTGCAAGGGTGGTGTGACAGTTAATACTGAGTGTCAACTTGATTGGGTTGAAGGCTGCAAAGTATTGACCTACTGGAAGTGTCTGTGAGGGCATTGTAAAAGGAGATAAACATTTGAGTCAGTGGGCTGGGGAAGGCAGACCCACCTTTAATACTGGTGGGTACCATCTTTCTAATCAGCTGCTAGCGAATATAAAGCAGGCAGAAAAACATGAAAAGGTAAGATTGGCCTAGCTTCCCAGCCTACATCTTTCTCCCATGCTGGACACTTCCTGCCCTCTAACATCGGACTCCAGGTTCTTCAGTTTTGAGACTCGGATTGGCTCTCCTTGCTCCTCAAACTTGCAGACAGCCTATTGTGGGACCTTGTGATTGTGTAAGTTAATACTTCATAAACTCCCCTTTATATATCTATCTATATCTATATCTATTATCTATATCTATATCTATTATCTATATCTATATCTATATCTATATCTGTCTATATCTCCTATTAGTTCTGTCCCTCTAGGGAACCCTGATTAACACAGGTGGGTAGGCACAGGGAGATGTGCCCCCTTCCCCGTGGGTGCTGGGTAGGTAAATGTTTCGCAAAGGGCTTTGCTGGGGAGAGGGAACCCTGATTTTCAGTATTTGCCTCTTTTCCTGGTATAAATATTCCCACTGTGGGCAGTATCACCTGCCTCTCAAAATTCCTGAAAATTCAACAGTTGGCTCCTGGCAGCTGCTGTGAGCCGTTCCAGCCGGTGACTGTGGTGGCTCCATCCTGCAGGGCCATGTGCCCCCACCCCTTGTGCTATGGCCTCCCTCACTTTAGTGTGCTGTGTTTTGCTCTTAGGAATCAATGTCTTTGCAGATAAGGCACCCCAGTAGCTGGCCGCCACCTGCAGTTCCCTGGTCTGTCTCTTGCTGGCACCAAGCTGTGCTGTGCCTGCTGAGACTGCTGGGCCACCCCCGTGCATATGGTCTGCGGGGCTTACTTGATTCCCTTAGCTTCCCAGCCAAGGTGCTGGTGTTGCCAGCAGTGCTGGCAGGAGGAGGGGATAACTAGAGGGGATTTAACTCAACCCGAGGGGCTCTTACGGGATCTTTCCTGGATATCCCTCCAGGTGGGACTGGCTGCCCTGAGGGTATACAAACCTCCAACTCCTCCAATGGCTGAAGCTACTTCCTCGAGCAGATGGCAGCTGGCTCAGGCTGGCTAGGGACCAGTGCATGTGAGGTCGGTGCTGGATCACCCCATCAAGGCCATCAGCCTGTGCTTGTTCTTGGGGTTTGAGGGAAACCCAACAGGGATGAATCACAGTTTTTAACCTGTGTTTGTCTGCCCCCCAGCCCTGGACATCTGCAGGCAAAGTTAAAGTTATATTTGGCTCTTATCACCGCAAAAGGCATAGACCAGAAATTATGGCATCGGGTTGGAAGTCAGGGAGGCTAATTTGGGGAAACTGCCTGGAGGAAGCAGCAACTCAAAAGAGGAGGAGTCCCACTGTGGGACAGAACAGGCCCTGCATAAGAACCACTAATCCCAGGCAAGCCCAGACATGGCCTTCTGCCTGGGGAGGCCCTCTTTGGCCTGCTCAGCAGACCCTCAGCCCCTTCTAGGCCCTGTCTTCAGCCTCAGACTGAGTGGTGGCCTGGGGAGGTTGGGAGCTGAGCTGTTCTCATCCCTGGTTCCTTGGCCACGGTGGAAACAATGGGGCCGGATCTGACTGCTCAGCGGGGACTGTGAATAGCTCTCTAGCAGGAAGCAACAGCAGGGGTAGTGGAGGAAGTGTGGGCCCACTTTGGTTTGACACTGCATATGGTCCCCATCTGGCCTGAGAGCCTTTACTCCTTGGCAAACTCAGGCCAATAAGCTCCTGCCCCCACCCTCAATGGCAGCTGGAAGAATGGCCTGAGGGAGAAGCAGGGATAGGTGGGCTGCACTGACATCACCCCCAGATCCCAGCCGTGGCCCCAGCCAACCCATGGAGGTGGGGCATGGCACGGCAGGTGCTGCACAGGAGCCCAAGCACAAGGGCACTTAGGAGAAGGAATCTGAGCAGGGATCGATCTGGCCTGGTGGTGATTCTCCAGAAACTCCATTCCTCAGGGCTGTGACCACCAAGCCAGGTGATCAGGCCAGTGATGTTTCCCTTTGGGCCAGGTCGGGGAGCCAGACCTGGGAGGGAGACTCCTCTGGGGCCCAGGGGAGGTGAGTCAGAGCTGGCAGAGGCCTCTGGCTCCAGGAACCTCCAAGGAGGAGACCTGAGTTGCTGGGAATTTCTGGGTCTGACCTCCTGCCAAGTCAAGGTCTGGGCTGGACACAAGGTGAGGCTGTGCCTTCTGGTGCCAGGACCAAGGAAATGCTGGGATCTGGGCAGTGCTCAGAGGCAGCACCGTATGGCAGAACCATGAGGGTGCACCAGCACGGACCCCTTTCTGCAACCCACCCATCCCTCCCTGCAGCACCTCGCCTCCTCCAGGCAAGAATCTGAGCCTTGACCACAGCTCCCTCTCTCACACAGCTTCCTTCTTTGGTT